>NT_187592.1:153456-306913 GCF_000001405.40 Homo sapiens | reverse complement strand
GAATTCTAGCCCCTTCCCGAGACCCAGGCACCGGGCAGGTGAGGGTGTCCTTCTCTGTAGTACGTCCTCCTCCTTTCCCAAGTGCACGGCGCGTCCCTGGAGACCGGGTGCCAGGGTCGGATGGCGATGCTGCCTGTTAGTGGAATCTGTGCCTTCAGACAGCGTTCATACAATTCACATATGTATTTCATGCTTGTATAAGTTGATCGTCTGTTTAAGAATTTACATTTTTATAAGGCTTAGAATTCTATCTCCTCCTCTCCCACTTTTCTTTACTGACGAAGCTGTCATGTGTTAAACCAAGAGAGCAAAACTGCAAGGTGTCAGTTGATCTTTAACTTACAGAAAGAGTATTTTTTAAAAAGTATGCATTGCCACTGTTATTTTTACACACCTCTATAAAGAGGCTTAAGTTCCACTTCTTTACTGTCTTGAGAGGAGGCAAGACTGATGTCTCACACAACTGCATGCGTAGCAAGTCTTGATCTCGTTATCGAGGTAACTCATTGAGGGCGTTTGAAGCAGTAACAAAACATGTCCAAGCTGACCCGTGTTATAAAGCCTTTTTGTAATCACCTCACTGATGGGCCTAGCTCTGATTTAGCCATCACATACATTAGTGTAACAATATGCTGCCATAGTCTTTGAACAAAAAAATTAAAAGTGCGAGCAGAGAACTGTGCTCTGTGGTGACCTTCCAGCCTGGTGATGGCTGTGTGATCTCCTAAAGGATAAAAGGAGAGTCTGAGCTCGTCGCTGACCTCCCTCGAGGCTCCTCTTTCTCACAGGCGGTAAGGCCACAGTCGGTTCCTTAAAGAAATGTCACCTTTATCTCCAGAGAGCCAGGGAATAGTAAATGTTTCATGCACAGCAGGCAAACTAATTGTAAAGCCATGAAGTAGAGCTTCTATTTATTCAGTGCACTGCGTTATTATAAAATAAATGTTTTGTATTTAATTTTTAAATACAATTATATTTTGTTTCATATATTTGTTGTTAGGCCCTTATTAGGTAAAGTAGTATAGTACTACTTGGTTAGATAGCTAAGTTCTTGTTTAGCTTGACCTGCACAGAAATTGGTTCTGGAGAGGTTGTTTCCTGTTAAGGGGTCAAGAATTTAAATGACTGATTTTTTGTTTTAAGATAGCTTGCAGGTGGGTAAGGGAGAACAGCGCGTTGTCGGTAAGTGTACTTGCATTGCACCTCTGACGTCAACTCTTCCCTTGCAGAGTTCTCCGGGGTGCTGCACCAGTGTCACATTTTGGCCTCTGAGATGGTCCATTTCATTCATCAGATGCAGTATTACATCACATTTGAGGTACACTTCAGTCATTGTGTTGATTTTAGTTTAAATAAGTCATGTCTTGGCTTTTACATGGTATATATATATATATATGTGTATGTATGTGTGTATATATATGTGTATATATACATAATTTTTTCTTTTTTTTTTTTTTTGAGATGGAGTCTTGCTGTCGCCTAGGCTGGAGTGCAATGGTGTGATCTCACCTCACTGCAACCTCTGCCTCCTGGGTTCAAGCGATTCTCCTGCCTCAGACTCCTGAGTAGCTGGGATTACAGGGGCCCACCATCACTCCCAGCTGATTTTTGTATTTTTAGTAGAGACGGGGTTTTGCCATGTTGGCCAGGCTGGTTTCTAACTCCTGATCTCAGGTGATCTGCCCGCCTCGGCCTCCCATAGGTGGTATATATTTTATGAGTGATGCTACACTAGGAAGGACATGAGCTTATCTAGCGTCTTTAAATTGTTGTTTCCCAGGTGCTTGAATGTTCTTGGGATGAGCTTTGGAACAAAGTCCAGCAGGCCCAGGATTTGGATCACATCATTGCTGCACACGAGGTGTTCTTAGACACCATCATCTCCCGCTGCCTGCTGGACAGTGACTCCAGGGTAAGACTCCGACCTGCTTAGAAACAAGAAACCAAAAGAATCATCTTCTTTTCTTGGGTTCCTGTCAAATGGGGGAATCTTAGAAATGCCCTGATGCAGCCACATTGGTAATAATTCAGATAATTTTATTAAAAGTTTACTGTTGAAGGTACAGTTTCTGAAGAGAATTGGAACAGTAGTGCAGTAGTGCTGAAACAAGAATATACTCTAAACTGGATGTAAAAATGGTAGAAAATAATAATACCTTTTCATTTTCTAGATATAATGGTATCCTATTGTGGTATTCAAAAGAGAAAACCATGACTTTTGAGTTGTTGAGGTTAATATCTGAGCAAAATAAGCAACACGATATAAGAACAAAACAGGCCGGGCGCAGTGGCTCATGCTTGTAATCCCAGCACTTTGGGAGGCCGAGGCGGGTGGATCACCTGAGGTCGGGAGTTCGAGACTAGCCTGACCAACATGGTGAAACCCTGTCTCTACTAAAAATACACACTAGCCGGTCGTGGTGGTGTGTGCCTGTAATCCCAGCTACTTGGGAGGCAGAGACAGGAGAATCACTTCAACCCGGGTGGCAGAGGTTGCAGTGAGCCGAGATCACGCCACTGCACTGCAGCCTGGGCAACAGATCGAGACACTGTCTCAAAACAACAAAACAACAACAACAACAACAAAAAACCATGGTGACATGTATGACATTTTTCGCGAACATTCTTTTCCCTTAGGGTCCATGTTCTGAAAGTTGCACGTTCCATGTGGCAAATCTTCCTGGAGTTCTCCTTTTATTCTGAGGTCTGGGACAAGAAGGAACCACATTGCTTTCACTTGAAGCAAATATATTGTGAAGTAGGGGGCAAATTTCAAATGCATTTTTCACCTGAACTCCGAGACTTCACGGATGTTTCCGACTGGCAGGGGCTGCCTCCAGCTGGGCCTGCACTCTCCTCAGGGCCTGTCAGTGGAAAACACGCCACTTCAGGGCCTTTACTTCATCTAAATTTTAGTATATGTAGGTTAGCCAGCCATGAATTTCATTATTAAAGAACTATCAATCATGTCAAAAAATGGTTAAGATCAAAGCTGCTTCTATATGGAGTGTTTTACATGTTTTTATAAATATGTGGAAATTATGTCAGAAAAATAGTTTAAAATACTTTGAGGATAATTAATAATTAAAGAAATATACAGGCCGGGGGCAGTGGCTCATGCCTGTAATCCCAGCACTTTGGGAGGCTGAGGTGGGTGGATCACGAGGTTAGGAGCTTGAGACCATCCTGGGTAAGACTGTGAAACCCCGTCTCTACTAAAAATACAAAAAATTAGCCAGGTGTGGTGGTGGACACCTGTACTCCCAGCTACTGGGGAGGCTGAGGCAGGAGAATGGCGTGAACCCGGGAGGCGGAGCTTGCAGTGAGCCAAGATTGCGCCATTGCACTCCAGCCTGGGCAACAGAGCGAGACTCTGTCTCAAAAAAAAAAAAAAAAAAAAAGAAGAAATGTACTTCTTGAGGTTTGAGGCCCTTGAAACCTCTATTACTAACCCTGGTCTTGTTATCGGAGTAAAACCACAGACGGTTTCATGCTGCCTGCCAGCCGTTGCCTCTCTGTATTCAGCAGATGCCGACAAGCATTGTCCGCACACGTTTAGGAAGTCAGTGTAACAAATAGCTCTCTGTTCCTAGACCCGTGTGCTGTTGGCCAGCACGGCCTGTCTCACGGTGCAGTCGCATGGCAAGACAGACACAGGCTCTGCAGCCAGGTAGACCGAGGGTGGAGTTTCACTTCATAGCTTTTGACTCCAGTGTTCTGTTTTAAAAGGGCATGGTCCTAGTCTCTTCAACAGATTTGTAAGAATTGTATAATTCAAGTATAATGTTGACCATAGTGGCTGGCAGATAGGTGTTAGTTGCTATTTTGTGCCGGTGTGTGTGTTTTACAGAGGTGTTTACAGTCATTAGATTTCATGCATTTCAGAAAATGTTTGAACTACTGAGGACTATACCCATACTGATATCAGTCCAGTTGTGGCAAATAAGTAACACTCCACACAGCTTACGGAGAATGTAGGAGACTTAGTCCACTTACAGATGTGAACCTTCTGTACGAGATAAATTGTCATAGCTTTTGCCCCTAGATGATTTCCACTGGTAAGAACCCTATCCGGGGGAGAAAATCTTCCCACCTGTAGCACAGTGCCCTTGTGAAAGTGGGAAGCGGGGTCTTCACGTGTGCGTTGGTCCCACCTGACGTCGTTGAAGGTGTCATGCCGGAGGCTTCATGGTCATTTCTGAACTTGCCTTTGCTGATGGCTTTACTCTTTAATTTGATGATTTGTTTAAAATGAGCTTTAAAAAAAAATAAATAAACCCAGTATGTAAAGCAGATTAAAACAATCTATTATTGACATAAGCAATTTTAAGTATAACATTTTTATTATGTCACTCACTAAGAAAACCAAGGCGGTTCTGATACATATAATCTTGAAGCTGGAGGCTGTGCATGTTTTTGTGTTTTTTTGTTTGCACATTGTTGAGAGAAATTGTGAATTGCAGAGTGAATTGGTACCACTGATGTTGCCAAAGAATGGCCTCCTGCAGGTGCCCTGTGTGGACAGATTGCCAGCAGAGCCCTGCCTGGCAGCCTGAGCTTGAAGTCAATGTCAGTGGGTCACCTTGTAGATGGATTAACTCTTCCAAACATAATAAATTATTCTTTATTAGACTACATAAAGAAACAAATTAGATAAATCTTTACTAAAAACAACAGATTAAACCGTCTGTATCTTTTATGTTGCTTATTTAAGACCCTGTCAAAAGGACAGAACAGCTCTAAGATGAGAACTTGTAAGATGGAAGATGTGTTTGCCGCATTAATCACGTGGTGGTTTTATGTTAGGAACAGCATCCCCTGATCACATCCTTCTATCATTTGCCAAATCAGTCCACATTGTTTTTGTTGCCATGTAATCTGAAGACCTGGTTGCATAAGTGCATTGTAGTAAGTGAAAGAGAGCATGGGCTGTTCACTGCCGAATACCAAGTTCTCCTGCATCAGTTTGTTCCAAAACCCATTCAGCAAATACTCATTTCAGCTTTGTCTCACTTGAGATCAGACATCAGTTCAACTCTGAACGGTGCTGCTGTGACTTAGCAAATGAATTTTGAACCGAAGCATCGCCATGCTTTCATAACGGAAAATATTTTTGCAGAATAGTATTAGTCCATTAGACAATGGGTGATGAGAAGTGGCTTTGCAAATGTCTTCATTAACTGTAAAGTTGTGTTAAAAATAGAGTTAACTCAACATCTTAGTTTCTCCCCAAATCAACTGTATTGTGTCTTCCCAACCACAGGCTTGGAACCTCTCCTGTTATCTCGGTTTCTTTTATGCTTCTCAAGTACAGTTGTGTCATTTTTCTCCTATAAACTTGCAAATCTTTTGTTACATTATTGCTACATTTGAGAAATTTGGCTGGTCTGAAATGGTATTGATTTTGTTATTTCGATCTCTAATTTTTCTAGTCTAATATTTTCTTGGCGCATATTTTTTATCAGTAAAACCAGTTTTGTTTCTTTCATTTCACACAGTCTGCCTTTGCTTCTTTTTCACGCTTCGGAGTGTTAGCTAGGCTGACTCTAAGCACAAAGGGAATCCCAGTCTTATTCCTGACGTTAAAATGATGCTTTGTTGCTTCATTGTTGGCTGTTTTGTTTGCAAAGACATCTGATAGGACCCTTGTCAAGCTAAGAGGGTTCTGCCCTAGTCCTAGTTTGCTTAGATGCCTTATTTAAATTATGAGTGGGTGTTGAATTTTATCACAATTTTCTTCTGCACTATTGAAATTAACCCCCGCTCAGCCCTCAGACTGTTAGTGTGTTTTTTCAAACCTAAGATGGCAGAGGGTAGAGTTAACCTTTCTCTTCAGTCATAGCACACTGCCATCAGTGGTCCGTGAAAAGCCTCTCATATTTTGTTGGGTTTAATTTTATCCCCTTCCCTGCCAATACCCCAATTCCACCCTCCTCTGCCTGTACCCCCTTCCCTGCTGTTTGCATCAGCTTTAATGTATTTGCTCTATGGCCTTGGGTATATAGATGGTATTTTCTGTGTATACATTTTTAATTTATGTAAATGATTTTGTGCTGTAGATTTCATTGTGTCCTTCCATGCCACAATAGGAGAAAGATTAATGAGGTACAGTAGTTGTTTACTGAAGATTACTGGGCAGTAGTTATAAGCAATGAACGGAAGATACCTGCTGTGACACTGATATTTGTTTAAAACATTAGGAGTTTTTTCCTCATGTTAAGGTATCCTTTTATTTCTGGTATAAACTATGATACATTTTTTAAAAACCTTGCTGAATTTGCTTTTTATATTTTACTAAGTATTTCCTTTCTCATATTTTTGATTACCTGCTTTTGCTATATCTAAAAAAAAAAATGGAGATGCTTTCCTATTCTTTTTTCAATCTTGGAATAGTTCTACTCATTACTACCTGCTATCTAGCTTTGAAATTTGGGCAGAACTTCATTTTTGTAAACTTGTGAGGATTGGAGGTGATTTGCAGAGAGCTCCTGGCCCGCCGTGGGACTTGGGCAGTCACGATTGCTCTTGTTACGGGTGCAGGTGCAGGATGGTCACGTTTTGCTGGTGCCCAGCACAGCGCTGCTCAGCAGGAGGGTTCAGGAAATGTGTGGTGAGGGAATGAATGAACAGCTAATGAACACTTTGGGAATTTCAGTTGATATCTTGTTTTCTAATATCTTTTCACTAAATATCAATGTTTTGTTTAAGAAACTTAGCTGGTTGAGGCTCTATTCATAAAACATTGTCATCTCTTTCAGGCACTTTTAAATCAACTTAGAGCTGTGTTTGATCAAATTATTGAACTTCAGAATGCTCAAGATGCAATATACAGAGCTGCTCTGGAAGAATTGCAGAGACGATTACAGTTTGAAGAGAAAAAGAAACAGCGTGAAATTGAGGTATGGTCTTTACACTTGTGAATTTATCTATTTGAATAATGAACTCCTTGCCACACACGATAATCTCAAATGCCAACAAATAACTTTCTTGCCAAAATTGTCAGACAGGTTGAGATGTGCCTATACTGCGTTTGAAGTCCCGAGAAATCACTGACAGTTGTAAAGAGGGAGGGGCCACCCTCACTGGCATCATCATCCTGTTTCACAAAATAAATAAAAACAGCAGCATTCATGAGAATTACAAATCTCCTGCCCGTTTTCATTACTGAGTGCCACAATGCCGATGTCACCCGTCGGAATCTCCACAGCTGCCTCCGCTCTGCATCACTCTGTGTTTGAAGCTTGTGGATCGTGCACCATGCTGCATTTTGCAAACGTGTGCATCTACAGGTGCTCCTCAACTTAGAGCAGTCTTATGTCCCAATGAGCACATTCTACACTGAAAGTGCATTTAATATAATATAGATGGAGCATCCCTAATCTGAAATACAAAATACGAAATGCTCCTAAACCCGAAACTTTTTCATCACTGACATGACGTCACAAGTGGGAAATTCCACACCTGACTCCTTTGCTTTCTGATGGCTTATTGTACACAAACTTTGTTTCCTGCAGAAAATTATAAAAAATATATAAAATTACCTTCAGGCTACTATGTATTTAAGGTGTGTATGAAGCATAAATGAATTTCATGTGTAGACTTGCATCCCCTCTCCGAGATACCTCGTTATGTATATGCAAATACTGCAAAATCTGAAATTCAAAATACTTCTGGTCCCAAGCATTTCAGATAAAGGATACTCAACCTGTACCCCAATAAACCCATCGTTAAAGTAGAAAAAATCTTAAGTCAAACGATCTTAAGTTGGAGACCTTATATGTATGTTTATATACCTGTAATGCAAGTATATATGTATATATAATATGTATAGGTATATATGCATGTGTATGTGTTTGTGTGTGTGCTTTGCATATATGTGTGTTTACAGGTACATGCATGTGTGTGTGTGTGTACATGTATATGTACATGAACCAAATTTCTGTACTTAACGGTTATTTTCAGATTTATTAAGCAAGTTTGGCTGTTTATGGGATTTCTTTTATTTACTATAATCTGTTTAATCTTTTACTTTTTCAGGATACAGTCATGTACCACATGATGTTTTGGTCAATGACAGACTGCATATATGACAGTAGTCCCATAAAATTATAATGCCATATTTTCACTGTACCTTTTCTATGTTAGATATGTTAGATACACAATACTTACCATTGTGTTACAGTTGCCTACAGCATTTAATACAGTCACACGCTGCCCAGATTTGTAGCCTAGGAGCATAGGCTGTGCCATATAGCCAGGGTGTAGTCAGCTGTACCACTGAGGTTTCTGTAAGGCACTCAGCGATGTTCACATAGGGACAAAATCACCTAACGATGCGTTTCTCAGCATGTGTCTGTCTTTAATGTCATATGATGGTACTAACTCTTGGGATTGTCAAAGACATTATTCAGTCAATACAGTTTGGTTAGTTTTACTTTTGAGTATTGTTTCTCTTAAAACCTGTGTTAGAGGACCATATGTAGCTTAGAGAGTCCTCAACCACTGGGTGCACAAGTTATTTCTTTGGTATTTTTTGGAAACATTTGTATCGCTAAGGGCTCTCATCATTCAAAGCGAATTTTGGTAATTCTGAAGTGTTGTAGAGTTGGCACACAGAAGCTCCTGGGCCTTGTCCAGGCAACCCTATGGATAACTTAAAGTCGGATATACTCACGATTCTACCTAACTCTATAACTTACTGGCTTTGCGCCTTTGGGTGGCTCACCCCTCCAAGATGTCGTTTCCTTATTTGTAAAATGGGTGATAAGGAATATGACCTCACAGAGTCACTTATCTATGTGTGATGATATATGACGCTTATTTAGTAGGCATTCAAGTGCATGCTGGCCACTGCCATTTGTAAAACTGCCCACGTGCCCCAAGAAGCTTCCCTTCTAGAGAATTACTAAACTGTCTCAAAATCGACCAAAATCACTCCGATTTTTTTTTTTTTTTTTTGAGAGGGAGTCTCACTTTGTCGCCCAGGCTGGAGTGCAGTGGCGCGATCTCGGCTCACTGCAGGCTCCGCCTCCTGGGTTCACGCCATTCTCCTGCCTCAGCCTCCCAAGTAGCTGGGACTACAGGTGCCTGCCACCATGCCCGGCTAATTTTTTGTATTTTTAGTATAGACAGGGTTTCACTGTGTTAGCCAGGATGGTCTCGATCTCCTGACCTCATGATCCGCCCGCCTCGGCCTCCCAAAGTGCTGGGATTACAAGCATGAGCCACCGCGCCCGGCCACTCCTTCGGATTTTAAGCCTGTGCTAATGGCGTGTCCGCTGGCCGTGTGGGAGTGGAAGGTTCTCTTGGGCAGTTAGCCGTCACAGTGAGTGGGACAGATGCATAGGCCAAGTCCACGCTGATTCAGGATATTCCATTCAGACTTGCTTAAGGATGCAGGAAGAGACACAAAAGCTAAAACCATATCTGAGAAGTTATTTAAGTTTAAAAGGCAAGATAATCTTCAAAGCCATCATTTCGACCTGAGGTCCCCTGAAAGTTCTGAAGAGATCATGCAAGTCGCCTCCTGGAAAGATGACAGAGCCCTGGGTGTGTGCTGGGACCGAAGCGGCGCCCGCCTGCTGCACCCCCTGGTGCCACCATGTTCTTATGCTGCCATTGTGTGGGGGACTCCAAAGGGCCCTTCTCTTCCTCCTCATGGCTCTTCTGTTTCTTTCCACTTTTCTTCTCACACGCTATAAATATCAATTTATAGTGATATTTCCAATTCAAATGTAGGATTAAAGGACTTTTACTTGTTTCATTTTTTATCAATATATCTCCAGTGTTGAAAACATTGGTTTCTAACATGATCGTACTTAATTATTTGCCATCTTACGATAATGCATCCATGCATGCACCCATACACGTGACTGTCTCAGAATAAGAATCTCAATGCTGCTGCTGATATGGGAACAGTATAGTTTTGAAAATAGTTTTACTTTTTTTGCAGTTTTTTTTGAGGGAAAAAATATTTCTTCTTTTATTCTAATAATTTTTAAAAATTTTTTGCCAAAAATTTTTCCACTAAATAGATGCATTCAAATTCTATGTGGTAATGTCCTTGAAATAAGTGCTCCCGTAAGGCTCTCCCACCAACTCACTGCACAGTTAGGTTAAGTGGTTTCATTTTGGCTTTTAATTTTTAGGGATTGCTTTTACTTATAAAACAGAATTGAATATAGTTATCTAAGATAGTAACCTGATGCCAAAACAAAGCATTTGGGTAGTTTAGCTTTTGTTGCTCTCTGTGTCCTAGTCTCCCTTGTAAACGTGGATTGGGAAATCCACAGTATTATCACACTGATAGATCAACATGATAATGTGTTACAAACAAGTTTCAGCTTATTCCAAGAATAGAACCCTCCCTGTTATCATTCTAATAAAGATATTGTAATTCATGTTTATAAACTGAAGGGGAAAAATTATATGATCATCTCAATAGATGGAAAATATCATTTAATACCAAGTAAAACCCATTAAAAAGGTTTGCATGAATAATTTTATAATAAGACATCATTCTTGGGGGTGAAATATTGGAAGCACATCCCTGAGACAGAGTGAGACATACACGCTCCTGCACTGATGGTCCCAGCCAGGGCTACGAGCTGAGAGGAAGTACAGAGAGAAGGAAGGAAAGCTGGCATTTTGTTGTTGTTACAAAAGTCTGGTTGTGTAGAAACTAGACCCCTGTCTCTTGCCATGTACAAAAATCAAATCAAAATGGATTAAAGACTTAAATCTAAGACCTCACATTATGGAAATACTAATGGAAAACACTGGGGGGAAACTCTAGGACATTGGTCTGGGCAAAATGTCTTGAGTAATACTCTGCAAGCACTGGCAGCCAAAGCAAAAATGGACAAATGGGGTCAAATCAAGTTTAACAAGCACCCAAAGGAAACAATCAACAAAGTGAAGAGGCAGCCCAGAGAACGGGAGAAAATATCTGCAAACTACCCATTGGCGAGGGATTGATAACCAGAATATATAAGGAGCCCAAACAGCTCAACAGGAAAAAACTCTAGTAATTCAGTTAAGAAAGGAAAAGGATCTGAATCGACATTTCTCGAAAGAAGACAATGCAAATGGCAAAAAGGCTTATGAAAAGGTGCTCAACATCATGGGTTATCAAAGAAATGCAGATCAAAACTACAGTGAGCTATCATCCCACCCCAGTTAAAATGGCTTTTATCCAAAAGTCAGGCAAGAACAAATGCTGGCGAGGATGTGAAGAAAAGGGAACCCTCACACACTGCGGAGGGAACATGGATTAGTCCAGCCACCATGGATATAAGTTTATAGTCGAGTACATGTATGTCCTTAAGTTATCGAATAAGATCATAGTAGTTAAAAGAGTGGTGTGGCTCAAGGAAAGACAAGTAATTGGAACAGGGTAAGGTCCAGAAGCCCACAGGTAGAGACTGTTGCTCCGTGGCCTGTGGTGCTGAGAGCCGTGGGGCCTGGGCCTAAGTAGGCAGCACTGGCTAATTTTAAACAGCTCAAAATATACTATTTTACTATACTAAGTTTAGATGTTTAATGTTAAAATTTTAAAGGCATACACCAACAAATGCTGGTGAGGATGTGAGAAGACTCTTACGCTGCTGGTTCTGGATAAACTGGAATAACCACTTTGGAATACTGTTAGGCAGGAACCAGTGCCGAACTCAGGACTACTCTGACCCAGCATTCTCTCTCCTAGGTGTAGTGCCCAATGGAAGTGTGTCTCAGGCACACCAGGCCTCGTTCCCATAGCTAGAGCGTCTCAGGCACACCAGGCCCCGTTCCCATACCTAGAGCGTCTCAGGCACACCAGGCCCTGTTCCCAAAGCTAGAGTGTCTCAGGCACACCAGGCCCCGTTCCCATAGCTAGAGTGTCTCAGGGACACCAGGCCCCATTCCCAAAGCTAGAGTGTCTCAGGGACACCAGGCCCTGTTCCCAAAGCTAGAGTGTCTCAGGCACACCAGGCCATGTTTCCATAGCCAGAGCATCTCAGGGACACCAGGCCATGTTCCCATAGCCAGAACGTCTCAGGGACACCAGGCCCCATTCCTATAGCCAGAGTGTCTCAGGCACACCAGGCCATGTTCCTATAGCTAGAGCGTCTGAGGGATACCAGGCCCTGTTCCCATAGCTAGAGCATCTCAGGCACACCAGGCCCTGTTCCCAAAGCTAGAGTGTCTCAGGCACACCAGGCCATGTTCCCATAGCCAGAGTGTCTCAGGGACACCAGGCCACGTTCCCATAGCCAGAGTGTCTCAGGGACACCAGGCCACGTTCCCATAGCCAGAGCATCTCAGGGACACCAGGCCCTGTTCCCATAGCCAGAGCATCTCAGGCACACCAGGCCATGTTCCTATAGCTAGAGCGTTTCAGGGACACCAGGCCCTGTTCCCAAAGGTAGAGTGTCTCAGGCACACCAGGTCCCATTCCCATAGCTAGAGCGTCTCAGGGACACCAGGCCCTGTTCCCAAAGCTAGAGTGTCTCAGGCACACCAGGCCATGTTCCCATAGCCAGAGTGTCTCAGGGACACCAGGCCACGTTCCCATAGCCAGAGCGTCTCAGGGACACCAGGCCCTGTTCCCATAGCCAGAGCGTCTCAGGCATACCAGGCCATGTTCCTATAGCTAGAGCGTTTCAGGGACACCAGGCCTCGTTCCCATAGCTAGAGCGTCTCAGGCACACCAGGCCCTGTTCCCAAAGCTAGAGTGTCTCAGGCCACCAGCCCCCGTTCCCAGAGCTAGAGCGTCTCAGGGACACCAGGCCCCGTTCCCAAAGCTAGAGTGTCTCAGGCACACCAGGCCCCGTTCCCAAAGCCAGAGTGTCTCAGGCACACCAGGCCCCGTTCCCAAAGCCAGAGCGTCTCAGGGATACCAGGCCCTGTTCCCAAAGCTAGAGTGTCTCAGGCACACCAGGCCCCGTTCCCATAGCTAGAGAGTCTCAAGGACACCAGGCCCCGTTCCCAAAGCTAGAGTGTCTCAGGCACACCAGGCCCCGTTCCCATAGCTAGAGTGTCTCAGGGACATCAGGCCCCGTTCCCAAAGCTAGAGTGTCTCAGGGACACCAGGCCTGTTCCCAAAGCTAGAGTGTTTCAGGCACACCAGGCCATGTTCCCATAGCCAGAGCGTCTCAGGCACACCAGGCCATGTTCCCATAGCTAGAGCGTCTCAGGGACACCAGGCCATGTTCCCATAGCTAGAGCGTCTTAGGGATACCAGGCCCCATTCCCATAGCCAGGGTGTCTCAGGCATACCAGGCCCCGTTCCCATAGCCAGAGCATCTCAGGGACACCAGGCCCCGTTCCCATAGCCAGAGCGTCTCAGGCACACCAGGCCCCGTTCCCATAGCCAGGGTGTCTCAGACACACCAGGCCCTGTTCCCATAGCCAGGGCTCCTCTGGGGGGAGAGGTGGTCATTGGAAGGGGCCACAGGAACATCTGGGTGCTGAGATGCCCTCGCTTGCATCTGCATGGGGGTGACATGCGCATATTCATCTTGTGATAACTTATTAAGCTGTTCATGTATGAGTTTTTATACTTTTTTATATGTGTTACACGACAGTAAAATAGTATATTTTAAAAATTTGTGTAAAGAAATAAAAGACAAAAGTTGGTGGGGAAAAGATGGGAAGTAGTGTAAATATTGTTATTTATCTTTTGTAACCAAGCATCAAAAGATATTGTTTAAAGCTCATAAATGAAGTAAAACAGGTATACATAGGTTGAAAGATGTTAGAGATATGAATAGAATGTTTCTAAAATCAGATGGCAAAAGGAAGGAGGACAATAATTATTATTGCCCAGATTAGAGTATTGATACCATCCAAAGAAGAAGATGATATGTTTTATGAAGTGAAGGTATAAAGGTAACCACTGGGACACAGTGTCACTGCCTGGCTGTTAGAAGAAATACAGGTGATATAGTAGAAGATTATCACCCTCAAACCGGAAAGCATGGTATAAATATGAAGACAGAACTAAGAGCAGATGTACATCACATCAATCAGGGGACTTGGGTTAAACCCACATAATGAAAGAAAAAGCTCCTCAGTAGAGGATGGTGTTTGCTTGATGCCCCTGGGTGGGGGTGCTGGATGGCTTGTAGCTGAGGGCTGAAGGTCATTATCCGGGCAGACCTACAAATTGGGAAGTTCTGGCCGGGCGTGGTGGCTCATGCCTGTAATCCCAGCTCTTAGGGAGGCAGAGGTGGGAGCATAGCTTGAGCCCAGGAGTTGGAGAGCTGCCTGGGCAATATAGCAAGACCCCGTTCTCCACAAAAGGGTTGTTGGTGGGGAGAAAAGAAGACAAATTGGGAAGTTCTGGTGTAGAACGAGTGATGTAGATAGTTTATAAAGAAAACAGTGGACACGAACAAAGCATATAAAGCAAATATTCTTCAAAGGAAAGCAGGTTGTAGTTCAGAGCACAAAACAGTAAACATGGCAGGAAGGGCACATTGGAGTGATGGGAGGTGCAGGGCACAGTGAGGACCACGCAGTGTGGGCTTCCTGTAAGGCCCAGCTTGTGCCATATCAGTACTCACTTAGAAAACCACAAGCAAACAAGCAGAAATGGGTCAAAGCACATGGATTTTAGAAGAATATTTCAGTTTCTTACAGACTATGAAAGATAAAATGCACATAAATAAGGAAATATGAAAATTCATAACTGCCTATATTAATAAATTGGAGAGAATGAAAGTAAATAAACATCCCACTCAAAAAGTTGGAAAAGCAGGAATGAAACCTAAAGAAAAAGCCAAAGGACATAATTAGTAAAGATGAGAGCGAAAATCAGTGAATCGGAAACAAAGAAGTTAATAAAGTCCAAGAGCTGGGCCTTTTGGGGGGCCAAGGAGTGGAGGGAAATTAAGCCATGAATGAATCTGAGAGGTAGCGGGAGGAGAAGGCACAAACATACAAAACAAGTGAGAAAGAACTTACTCTTTCGCTCAGCTCTGTGGAAAAAAATCTACTTGAAGGAAATCATTTTCCATAGGTTTCCGAAATTGGCCCCATGAGAGAAAGGAAATTGTAAGCAGAGCAAATACTAAAGAAGAAACAAAGCCATCGAAGGGCTCCCACCAAAAAGCGTCAGGTCAGCTGTGCTGAGAAAGACTCCCAAACGCACCGATGGTCAGCTTTGTGCTCTGTGAACTGTTCCAAGTTTCTAAATTGTGTAAGAAGAATCACGAAGCTGATACCCTATCTGAGAAAAAACAAATCTGGGTTGTAAATATTGATGGAGAAATCTCACATGAAATATAATTGAAAAAAGGCTAGATTTAAAAGCATAATTTATGAAGACTAGGATTTATTTCAGGAATGCATAGGTTTGGGAAATCCAGTAATATAATTCACCATATTTGACAAGTGAATTAAATCATGGCCAGGAGCGGTGGCTCCCGCCTGTAATCCCAGCACTTTGGGAGGCTGAGGCAGGCAGATCACCTGAGATCAGGAGTTCGAGACAAGCCTGGCCAACATGGTGAAACCCTGTCTCTACTAAAAATACAAAATTAGCCAGGTGTGGTGGTTCATGCCTGTAATCCCGGCTACCTGGGAGGCTGAGGCAGAAGAATCACTTGAACCCAGGAGGCCGAGGTTGCAGTGAGCTGAGATCATGCCATTGTACTCCAGCATGGGAGAGCGAAACTCCATCTCAAAAAACAAACAAACAAACAAACATAATTCCTATATATGCTATCTGAGAAGACATTTAATCAAATTCATCATTGATTGAAAATGATCTTAAAAATAGAAATAAACGGGTATATCTCCAGTACCAAAAAGTACATCATGGTTAGGGAACTAGAAGCATTCTCACTAAAGTCAAGATAATAGTTTAAAGGGTGCTGACGCCTTGGGCCAGCTGGTTCCACTTTCACACATACTGTCTTTGTTATATAAAAACGTGTACAGCACGAGGGAAGGATAGAAGGCTGTTCATCCCATGAAATGAGATGAATTATATACCTTGTTACATGTTATACAATGTGATATTAAAAACAACAGAGGCAGTCTCAAATGTGTTCATATGAAATATTTTCAACACACATTGTTAACTGGAAAAAGTAAGCTGGAGAGCAGTCTGGCATCAGAAAATTATTGTGAAAGTGTTGAACAGTACAGAGAGGCATAAAAAGCAGACACCTCCTGCTCCTCACATACCTGTTTTCAGCCCTACTCTGTAATCTGTTTTCCATCGTGATTTTACTGACATTTGGTACTTTTGATTGTTCAGGGCCAGTGGGGAGTGACGGCAGCAGAGGAAGAGGAGGAAAATAAGAGGATTGGAGAATTTAAAGAATCTATACCAAAAATGTGCTCACAGTTGCGAATATTGACCCATTTCTACCAGGTGTGTATGAGGATACAGAGTGGCTCTTCACACCACTCTGCCCATGTTCTGTACCTGACAGTTGCTTTCACAGTGATGAGAGCAGAGTCAGCCCTGTCAGTCTGACACTTATTTGTGTAGGTGTGAGTAGCACCCATGGTGGACCCTGTGACCCTCTGGGGGACTCGGGTATGCCTGGGCTCCGGGCAGTGCCAGTGTGCCATCAGTGAGAACCCTGGCCAAAGGGTGGCCCCTGTGGTGGGATGCGGGCACCCGGGGGTGGCCCCAGTGCTCCCCTGTGTTGGGGTGTGGGGACCTGGGCGTGGCCCCTGTGCTCCCCTGTGTTGGGGTGTGGGGACCTGGGCGTGGCCCCTGTGCTCCCCTGTGGTGGGTGTGGGGACCCGGGGGTGGCCCCTGTGCTCCCCTGTGGTGGGTGTGGGGACCTGGGGGTGGCCCCTGTGCTCCACTGTGGTGGGATGTGGGGACCTGGGGGTGGCCCCTGTGCTCCACTGTGGTGGGTGTGGGGACCTGGGGGTGGCCCCTGTGCTCCACTGTGGTGGGATGTGGGGACCTGGGGGTGGCCCCTGTGCTCCACTGTGGTGGGTGTGGGGACCTGGGGGTGACCCCTTTGCTCCCCTGTGGTGGGTGTGGGGACCTGGGGGTGACCCCTGTGCTCCCCTGTGGTGGGTGTGGGGACCTGGGGGTGGCCCCTGTGCTCCCCTGTGGTGGGTGTGGGGACCTGGGGGTGGCTCCTGTGCTCCCCTGTGGTGGGTGTGGGGACCTGGGGGTGACCCCTTTGCTCCCCTGTGGTGGGTGTGGGGACCTGGGGGTGACCCCTGTGCTCCCCTGTGGTGGGTGTGGAGACCTGGGGGTGGCTCCTGTGCTCCCCTGTGGTGGGTGTGGGGACCTGGGGGTGACCCCTGTGCTCCCCTGTGGTGGGATGTGGGGACCTGGGGGTGACCCCTGTGCTCCCCTGTGGTGGGTGTGGGGACCTGGGGGTGGCCCCTGCGCTCCCCCGTGGTGGGATTGTGGGGACCTGCAGGCGTCTCTGTAGCCTTCATTTGGGTTTTTCAGTGACTCCCGATGGGGACTGTCCCTGAGACAGCTGCCCAGCCTGGGTGAGGGGCCGGCAGCCAGCAGACATGGTGTAGACCCCGGAAGGCTGGGGACGGCTGCTCTGCATGTCTGTCCCTCTGCTTTTGCCTCCATGTATGGGTCCAGTTTCTCATTTCCTCCATTTCTCAATGTGATCTTAGTGATAGTAGAGATGAAAAGATTTCATGAAAAATATTTCTGTTCAGTCGCTGATCACTAATCATGGAGCATCAAGCCTCCAGCCCTCCAACATCGTGGGTTTGTGTGCTGGTGCCTTCATGTGGTTCAAAATTGAAAGTGAGACCGCACTCGCTCTTTCTGTGGGCATCTAGTTTGCTTCCCAGGTCCTCAAACTTTTTTTTTTTTTTTTTTTTTGAGACCAAGTCTTGCTCTGTCACCCAGGCTGCAGTGCAGTGGTGTGATCTTGGCTCACTGCAATCCCCGTCTCCTGGGTTCAAACGATGCTACTGCCTCAGCCTCCCGAGTAGCTGGGATTACAGGCACGCGCCACCACACCCGGCTAATTGTTGTATTTTTAGTAGAGACAGGGTTTCACCATGTTGGCCAGGCTGGTCTTGAACTCCTGACCTCAAGTGATCCACCCGCCTCAGCTTCCCAAAGTGCTGGGATTACAGGCATGAGCCACCATGCCCGGCCCTCATACTTTTTAAATATTTATTTTTCTTCACGATAACTAAGGAGGAACGTTGTCCCTTTTACAAGTGGTCTTAGTCTGACCTTGGCCTACTTTTGCATTTTTGTTGAAGTTTCATAAAAGGGGGTAGTGACTGGCCAGTCATGTTCCGTGAACAGGCATCCCTGTTGGATGGTGTTTTGACACGATGCCTTCTTGAACTCATGTTATTTGTACAGTATGTATTCCTGTTTCTTAAAAATGGACACCTAATGGTTAGATCCATATGATTCACTAAAATCAGACTTACAAATCCTTTGTATAGCTACAAAGGAGCAATGTGTAATTTTAAAGATTTGTCTGTGTGCTTATTTCTGAGACAACGATGTTCTTGTTTATGGTTACACATTTCCCTGAGGGAGTTAATACATTTTTAAAAAGTAATCACTGTAATCCCAATTTTACTCAAATTACAGTCTTAAATCTGAATGGTAATGATTTACAAAGAAGATTCTTTTCTGTAACAGCAGAAATCCGTCTCTGCTCTCTGTGGCGGTGCCAGCGACGGCAGGCTGTTATCGCCATTGACTGTGAAAGAACATCCAGTCTCAACCTGTGGAAGAAATATTCTTAGATTTCCTTTTAGTAGTTCCACAGACCGTTGTATTTCAGTTTCATCACATCATCACATAATAGGAAGTCACTGTCTATATTTTGGCAATATAACTTCTTAGGCGTGTTCTTCTTCCCTCACCTAAAAAGGCAGTGATACACACACACACACACACAGACACACACACACACACACACACACACACATACACAGTGTTTGCCTGCTCAGAGGTGAAGTTACTTTATCAACACAGCAGAGCCTGTGCCCAGGCCTGCCTGTGAGCTTCAGCATTCGTGTTTCTGACCAGAAGCTGGGAAGGGGCAGTGACAGCTGGTGAAGACTTGGGCGGGGCTTGGTGAGGACGCAGTGCCTCAGTGAGTTTTCTCTGCAGATGAGGCCTTTCCAGGCCAGCAGTTCTGTGAACAGATCAGCACCCCGTGGCATGCAGCAGGCTCCAGCACTGGGCGGGGATGGGCCTGTACTCAGTATGCAAGTCTTTCAGCCTGAAATAGAAGCAGCCAGTCCTTTCGTCTTATCAGAGTTAGGGGAAACTTCTGTCACATCTTTAAAAACGCCCTCAGTAACAGGATGATGGCGATGCCAGTGCCCATGAAGAGGGCGGCTGCAGCCTCACGTCCAGCAGCTAGACCCAAAGACCCGACTGATGCTCTCAATTTGTTCTCCAGCAAGGGCTCTAGGATGAAATCCTCTTTCATGAGTCATATGAAAGATGAAATATGTGGCACTGAGTTTTGTATTCAAAATAGAATGTTCTAACATCTGTTACTTTGCTGTTTTGCTTATTCTTGTGGAACTTAAGAACAAAGTGAAAAAACCTGTTGGTTAGTTGTTTTCAAATCAAATGTATTCTTCACTAATTTGTCCTTGTAAAAGGGCGCCCATTCCTAATGCAGGTGCACTGGCCGTGTGCACTCCAGGGTCCCAGCAGCTCTTGCTCCCTGGACACCTGCCCTGGTGGGCATTTACTAAGGGCCTGTTGATCTGGAAGGAAAAACAGACCCAACCCAAAGGAGATTAAGGTCCGGGGAATACGTTTGTGGGTTGTTCTTTTCTGAAACAATATTTTACTCCTTTTGCTTCTTTTTAGGGTATCGTGCAGCAGTTTTTGGTGTTACTGACGACCAGCTCTGACGAGAGTCTTCGGTTTCTTAGCTTCAGGCTGGACTTCAACGAGCATTACAAAGCCAGGGAGCCCAGGCTCCGTGTGTCTCTGGGTACCAGGGGGCGGCGCAGCTCCCACACGTGAAGCTCGCGGTCCTCCCAGGGAGCTGCGGGTGATGTTCGTTGCACTGCTAGACACGAAATTCCCATTGACGTCCTGCAGGAACTGCATGCTGCAGGTGTCCTGCCCTTCCGCCCACGAGTGCGCCATGTTTCAGCGGAGCGGCGTGTGGGAGAAGCCACGTCGTGTTTCACATGTCGGAGTCGAATGCATTTGTAAATCCCTAAGTCAAGTAGGCTGGCTGCACTGTTCACATTTGTCTCTAAAAGTCTTCATCGCTAAAAGATACCATAATTTGCTGAGGCTTCTTAAGCTTTCTATGTTATAATTTATATTTGTCACTTTAAAAAATCCATTTCTTTTAGAAAAAATTAGGGTGATAGGATATTCATTAGTTAAGATGGTAACGTCATTGCTATTTTTTTAACATCCTCTTTAGAGGTAATTTTTGTTAACATAACCAAAAATTAAATTGAAACAAAATGTCCCAACTAAGAAAATATATAGAGCATTTTATTTTTTTTTAGTGTTGTAAAATATTAACCTCTGTGAGATCCTTTGTATCTTAATGCATTACCTTTACACATATTTATTCTTATTTTCTCTCCTTTCAGAGTTTACATTTTTATATTTAATTTACTATTTCAGATTTTTAAAATAGTATAGAAAAAAGTAGGAGTGATAGAGAACAAAAATACTCTTATACAGTGCAACCCAAATACCGCGAATGCATCAGCTAAAGCAGCGTGTAAATAGGAGTGACGAGAAAGTTAATGGAGTATTTTATTTTCAAAGTTCCTGATAAGCATTGGAAAGAAATCGACATGGATAATGAAGATTTCCTTTTTCCTTGCCTATTTTTTCATTGTAAATATTTATATACTACTGACCAAGATGTTGGGGTGGGGGGGATTGTTTTTTGTAAAAATGTCATTATCAGGTCACATAAATCTGCCTTTATGTTGCATAAGTGAAAATTTAGAAAATTAAAAGCAATTATCTTTCAGATGCATTCGTTATTTCTTGAGTAGTTTATGAAGGGACAGTTTACTTGCTGGATTTGGGGGTTGAGGGTTGGTAGAATTTGATTTAATATAGTACAGCATATGAATTATTTAATCAGTGAAACCAGGAAAGTAGACTTTGTGTGACTTTTGGTATAGAAGCAAAGGCAATGTCACCGCTCAGGTCTCAGGAGCGGTGCTTTAGTTATCTGAATCCACCTCTGACTCCTTTAGGTGTGGATTACCTTTAAAACTAAAGGGGCTGTCAGGAATCCTGGCCATGCAGAAATGAATTCATGGCAAAGGCCAGAAATTCAATGTAATTTTAGTTTTGAAGTTCATAAAATCAGAAATTTGAAACAGGTTTTTCTACTGCAAGGTTTTTTAGAAATTATTGCATATTGTTTATCTCCACGAGAGGTTTACCAAGGTAATTGACCATGCAGCCAGCTTTTATTTTATTTTATTCAGAGAGTTGTTCCAGGGATTAATCCTCAGTAGAAACCACCCTAGCAAAGGCCCACCTCGATTTTAGGGATTACGATTCCATTGGAGTGTAGGAGTCACCAGGACTTAGGTCAGATTTGTGGGCTATGGAGGGCTTCCGGGAGGTGCGGCCCTGGGGGGTGCCTGCGGGTCTGGAGGGTGGGAGCTGGGATGGGGTGAGGCCTCTGAGGAGCTGCGTGAGACCCACTCTCCATCATTGTGGATGCACAGTCAGGCCCCTTAGGGAGCCAGGACCCCAAAACCCAGCATCAGCCAAGCATAGATGACTTGGGGGCTCCACACTGGGGTTGTGCGGAAAGGAAAACCCACAGTGTGGGCGACCGCACCAAGCTCTGGGAGGGTCACGTCTTTATCCAGAAAATGCTAACCACTCTTACCTGTCACGCTTGTGGTAAATATTAGTGATGCTGTATCTATAGGGTCCTGGGCAGCTCAAGCAGGCCACCTGGCTCCGTCTGCGAGGACACCTCTTACCCACCAGGAAGTTTGGTGACTGCGGCCGAGGGCACAGATATCCTTTGTTAGAAGGGCTGGCCGCCCTCATATCCTGTTGCATGGGCAGGTTCGACTGGAGAGGGGAATATTCTTGCCTTTCTTGCCTGGTTGTCGACTGCAGTGTTCATGGCATCATGATTCTCAAGTCCCTCTGGAAAAATGTGCCTCCAGACATTAAAATGTAGGACAGAAGGACACAGCTTTGTTGAAGGAAAAGAGTACTTTTATCAAATAGCCACAGGCATGCTTGAATCGTGTTATGAGGCATATGTGGAAGAGATGTGTGGTGCAGCTGAGGCATATATAAGGGGCAGCCTTCATCCATAAATGATGCATGTGTTCTGAGCGCCCCACTGTGTGACCATTCCCCAGCCTCTCTCCCTCTTCTCAGCCCTCCCTATTCCCAGACACAGCAATATAGAAATAAGGCCAGTTAACCCTACGGTGGCTTCTAAGTGTTCAAGTGAAAGGTAGAGTCACACGTCTCCCACTCTAAATCAAATGCTAGAAATGACTAAGCTCAGCGAGGAAGGCATGTTGAAAGCTGACAGGTCGAAAGGCCTCTTCCGCCAAACAGCTGGTCATGTGAATGCAAAGGAGAAGTTCTTGAAGGAAATTAAAAGTGCTACTCCAGTGAACACAGAAAGATAGGAAAGCAAAACAACCTTATTGCTGATACGGAGAAAGTTGTAGTGGTCTGGTTAGAAGATCAAACCAGCACAACATTCACTTAAGCTAAAGCCTAATCCAGAGCAAGGCCCTAACTTCAATTCTGTGAAGGCTGAGAGAGGTGAGGAGGTTGCAGAAGAAAAGTTGGAAGCTAGCAGAGGTTGATTCATGAGGTTGAAGGAAAGAAGCCATCTCCGTAACACAAGTGCAAGGTGAAGCAGCAAGTGCTGATGGAGAAGCTGCAGCAAGTCATCCAGAAGATCTAGCTGAGATAACAGATCATTCATGAAGGTGGCCACACTAACACATTTTCACTGTAGATGAAAGGGCTTTCTATGGGAAGAAGATGCTATCTAGGACTTTCATAGTTAGAAGTCAGTGCCTAGCTTCAAAGGAGGGGTTGATTGTCTTGCTAGGGGCTAGTTAATGCAGCTGGTGATGTTAAGTTAAAGCCAATGCTCACTGGCCATTCTGAAAATCCTAGGGCACTGAAGAGGGATGCTAAATCTACTCTGCCTGTGCTCCATAAATGAAACAACAAAGCCTGGATGACAACACATCTATTTACAGCCTGGTTTACTGAATATTTTAAATCCCCCTCGAGATCGATTGCTCAGAAAAAAAGGTTATTTTCAAAATATTACTGCTCATTGATAGTGTACCTGGTTGCCCACGAACTCTGACGGAGTTGTACAAGGAGATACATGTTGTTTTCATGCGTGCTAAGACAACATCCGTTCCACAGGATCAGGAGTAATTTCAACTTTCAAGTCTTATGATTTAGGAAATACGGTTTGTAAGGCTATAGCTGCCATAAATAGTGCTTCCTCTGATGGATCTTGGAAAAGTAAACTGAAAACCTTCTGGAAAGGATTCACCATTCTAGATGCCATTATGAACACGATTCGTGGGAGGAGGTAAAAATGTCAGCAAAACAGGAATTTGGAAGACGATGATTCCAGTCATCATGGATGACTTTGAGGGGTCAAGACATCAGGGAGGAAGGAACTGCAGATGTTGTGGGGCTAGTAAGAGACGTAGAATTAGAAGCGGAGCCTGAAGATGTGACTGAACTACTGCAATCTTAGGATCCAACTTAAATGGATGAGGAGTTGCTCATTCATCTAGCCATCTAGTTGCAACATACATCTATCCATCATCTTTGCTTATGGATGAGCAAAGAAAGTGGTTTCTTGAGATGGAATCCACTCGTGGTGAAGATGCTGTGGAGATTGCTGAAATGACAACAAAAGATTTAGAATATTCCATAAACGCAGTTGATAAAGCAGTGGCAGGGTTTGAGAGGATTGTCTCCAATGTTGAAAGAAGTTCTGTGTGGGTAAAATGCTATCCAACAGTATCACATGCTACAGAGAAATCTTTTGCAAAAGGAAGAGTGGATTGATGTGGCAAACTTCATTGCTGTCTTTTTTAAAAAACTGCCACCGCCACTCTAACCTTCAGCAACCACCACCCTGATCAGCCAGGAGGCATCCACATCTAGGCAAGACCTTCCACCAGCAAAAAGATGACAACTTGCTGAAGGCTCAGATGGCCATTAGCATACTTCAGCAATAAAGTATTGTTTAAGTATGCACATTGGTTTTTTAGACATTGTCTGTTGCACACTTAATAGACTATAGTGTAAACATAATTTTTGGATGCACTCACTTGGAAACCAAAAAATGTGTGTGACTCATTTTATTGTGATACTCACTTTCTTGTGGTCTGCAACCAGACCCATGATACCTCTGAGGCCTGCCATATTCTTTGGTATGGAAATAATGATCAAAAGAATGCAATTCAGTGTGTAAATGGTAGATGGGGCCAGGTTCTTTCTGTATTTGGTGAACCTGGACTGGACTGTGCAAGGGTCTATTGGAATATGACTTGGTGGAAAGAAAGGAAGAATGGCGGGTCAGATGAGCTCATGATGTGGTTCTTAAAATTTTGCCAACTGTCAGAAAAATCACCGTCTTGGACAAGTATTTGTACTAATGACTTGTAGTTTTAGCAGCATATGAATTGCTCGGCATCTTTGGTGGGCAGATTATAAAGAATGTCTCCACTTTCTACTATGGTTACCACACCATTCAGATATCCTAATTCTGAGGCAATGTATGCATTTTCATTTAGGTTTTCAAATTCGTTGGCATTCATTTTTACACAGATTCCTTGATAATTTTTCAAATATTCATTGTTGAGTTATAGTCCTTTCTTAATATTTTCTATTCATGGCTCTCTTTTTCCTTGCTGGTCACATTTACCAAATTTTGTTTATAGTTTATGTCTTTCAAGAATTATCTTTTTTGGGGGGGTGGGTGTTACTTATTTTACTATAGATACACTTTTTTTCTTTTGCTTTATTTATAAATTACTTTTTTTTTTTCCCCCTGAGACGGAGTTTTGCTCTTGTTGCGCAGACTGGAGTGCAGTGGCGTGATCTCGGCTCACTGCAATCTCTGCCTCCCAGGTTCAAGCGTTTCTTCTGCCTCAGCCTCCTCAAGTAGCTGGGACTACAGGTGCGTGTCACCACGCCTGGCTAATTTTTGCATTTTTAGTAGAGATGGGGTTTCACCATACTGGCCAGGCTGGTTTCGAACTCCTGACCTCAGGTGATCCGCTTGCCTGGGCCTCCCAAAGTCCTGGGTTTACAGGTGTGAGCCACTGTGCCTGGCCATAAATTACTATTTTATATTTAATATCTAAATTTGGTTTAATGTTTCATGAATTGAATGTGTATAGAATTTATTGTGTCATTGTTTAATAAGCATTTCCAACTGTGAGTTATCCTCTGCATATAACTTTAGTTACTGTCACAGGTTTTTACATATATGGTTTATTTTCAATGTTATTAATACCTAACTAGTATGTAATTTCTGTTAATTTTCTTAATTCTGGATATAGTTAACATTTCAAAATTTCCAGGAAGTTTGGTTTTTTTCCTTTAATTTTTTTTCTTTTAGAAAAAGAAAAAGGGAAATTTGCCAAACATGTATCAAAATATATTATAAAGCTACAGTGTATAAAGCAGTGTGGTATAGGAACAGAAAGAAACATCCATGGAGCGGAATAAAATGACGAATTGCCAGTGTTTGCAGGTCATTAGTAGGTTCACTACAGAAATATGTCAAGTGTCTGATTATTGAACAAATGCTTTGGGGTAAATTGTTTCAGGCACAAACCAGTTGGAGAAAATTTAAATTAAGGACTTTAACTCAGAAGAAAAATTCAGATAGATTAAATTCAGATGGGGTAAATATGAATGATTAAAAGCATAATTACTAGAAAAAAATGCAATATTTTTATAGTCCCAGGGTTTCTGGCTTTTAACATGACACCAAGGATGAAAACTATAAAGGAAGATGATGAAAGATTTAACTACATAAAATGAAAAACTGTTTCCCAGTGAAAGTCAACATTACAATAGTCAAGACACATGACAGACTTAGAAAATCTAATTACAACATTGACCACAAAATCTACATTCTTAATTATAGCAGGCCCTTGTAAATGAATATAACGTCTACTAATAATTCCAAGCACATCAATGAGGAATTTAGGAAAGAAATACAAAACACACTAAAACATATAAAACACAAAGAAATATGCTCAGTTGTAGCCTCACTGGTTAGGTTGTTGTGACACAGAATATATTATTATGTTACTATTAACACAATTCAAGACTGTAATCTGATGTGTGTTGATGGGCGTGGGCAGCAGGAGTCCAACACTACAGCCCTGGAGGAAGTGTTCTTGCGTAGCCCCTTCCCCACCCCTCGCGTCATGGTCCCATCTCCAGGCAGCCACCGCCCTGCTTTCTGTCATAGATGGCTCGCATTTTGTAGAATTCTGTTACATTTGGTTTGTCTGTGTCGGGTGTTTTCAGTAAAGCTAATTATGTACAGGTGCATTTCATGTTGTTCCTGCATCAGAAGTTAGCTCTGCTTTCTTTCCGAGTAGCCCCTGCTGTGGCTGCATCACAGTGGGCTCATCCGTTCTCCTGTGTGGGCCTCTTTGGGTTGTTCCCAGTGTTTACTAGTACATTATAAACAAAGCTGCTGTGAACATTTGTGCACAAGCTATATGGATAAATGCTTTCATTTTTCTTGAGTAAATTCTTAGGAGAGGAATGGCTAGATCATGTGATAGGTTTACATTTAATTTTTTAAGAGACTGCCAAAATGGTCAAACCATTTGAATTCTCAGCATAAGTGTGTGAGATTCCAGGGTCTCCAGTCCTTGTCCATTCTTAGCGTGGTCAGCACTCTTAATTTTAGGCCTTCTTATAGGTGTGTAGTGGCATTTCACTGTGGCTTTAATCGATCTGATTTGTAAATGGCGTCAGTGTTCCTAATGTCTGAGATTATTGAGCATCATTTCATGTGCTTATTTGCTATGAAACCTTACCTGTCAAAATGTTTTGCCCATTTTTATTGTTACTGAGTTTTGAGAGTTTTAAAAATATGTCTGGATAAAAGTGTTTTATTAGATAGGTGACTTGCAAATGTTTCCTTCCAGTCTATGGCTCATCTTTTTTTTTTAACTGAGCATTTACTAGGTTCTATGCTCATCAGTATAGGGATTTTCATCTAAGTCCATGGTGTGGACAGAGTCTCCTGGGGTAAAGTTTATAGGATTAAAATATAGACAAACGCCAACATGCACAGGGAAGCTGCTGCCGCTTTTTTGCTGTCATTTTTTTTTTTTTTTTTTTTTTTTGATGGAGTCCCACTCTGTCTTCTAGGCTGGAGTGCAGTGGCCAGATCTCAGCTCATTGCAACCTCTGCCTCCTGGGTTCAAGAGATTCTTGTGCCTTAGCCTCCTGAGTAGCTGGGACTACAGGCTCCCATCACCATGTCTGTCTAATTTTTGTATTTTTAGTAGAGACCGGGTTTCACTATGTTGGCCAGGCTGGTCTCGAACTCCTGACCTCAGGTGATCCACCCGCCTTGACCTCCCAAATTGCTAGGATTACAGGCGTGAGCCACTGCGCCCAGCCTTTGCTGTCATTTAACCATGAAATGGAACTCTTCAGAGGAAGCAATGTCTATGTATTATCCTACAGTTAATGCAGAGTCCTCACTGTGATGATCGTAATTTCAATTGCCGGCTTTAGATCAAGGCTATTTATTTAGCTCTGCCCTGTTCATAACAGGTGGCTGCCAGGCACTTGAAATGTGGCTAGTCTCAGCTGGGATATGGGGTAAGTGTAAAATGCACCCTAAATTTCACATATTTAATATGGAAAAAATGTAAACTGTTTCAATATTTTTTATACTGATTTCATGTTGAAGTGATACTATTTGTATATATTTGGTAAAATAAAATAATTATTAAGATTAGTTTTACCTGTTTTTACTTTTTTAACATAGCTGCTAGAAAATTTAAGCTACATAGGTTGCTCATGTTATATTTCTGTCAGATTGTGCTTTCCCCTCCCTCCCTCCCTCCCTCCCTCCCTCCCTCCCTCCCTCCCTTCCTTCCTCCGCCCTCCCTTCCTTTCTTCCTTTCTTTCGCTTTGCTCTGTCACCCAGGCTGGAATGCAGTGGCACGATCTCAGCTCACTGCAACCTCCGCCTCCCAGGTTCAAGCAATTCTTCTGCCTCAGCTTCCCGAGTAGCTGGGATTACAGGCGTGCACCACCATGCGTAGCTAATTTTTGTATTTTTAGTAGACAGGGTTTCACCATGTTGGCCAGGCTGGTCTCAAACTCCTGACCTGAGGTGATCTGCCCGCCTCGGCCACCTAAACTGTTGGGACTCCAGGCGTGAGCCACCGCACCCGGCCAGATGGTGCTTTTTCAACATGACCTTTCTCCCTTCCCAGATTCCATCCAGGACACCACATTACATTTGGTTGTTTTATCTCCTTAGGCCCCTTTAAGTTTTGACATTTCTCAGATTTTTGTTTTTGATGACACCAACAATTTTGAGGATATTCTATAGAATATCCTTCAGTTGGGTTTTGTCTGATATTTTTCTCATGATTAGACTGGAGAGTATAGGTTTTTGGGAGAAAGACCAGGGCAAAGTGCCATTCTCATCACATGTTGTAAAGCATGACTTCACTGTTGGTGTTGACCTTGACCCCTGCCTGGCTGAGGTCGTGTTTTCTCCACTGCAGACTCGCTGCTTTTCTCCTCCTTTTCCTATTGTTCTCTTTAGGAGGGGACCATTGCGCAGCCCCAACTTGAAGGGCCAGGAGCTTCTTGAGAGTAGAATATCTACATACATTATTTGAAATTCTACATGGGAGACGGTGTCTTTCCCCCGTGTATTGATTCAAGCATTTGTTATCTCATTGTGGACGTATGGAGATTTATTGTCTATTTTGCGTTATAGTCCAATCCTTTATTTTGTTGCTCAAATGGTTCTGAATTGTTCGTGAATTATGGTAGCTGTATCTTTCAGGGAATTGGTCCATTTCATCTAAGTTGTCAAATCAATGGGCAGAGTGTTGTTTGTGGTATTTTCTTATTCATTTAATATCTATAGAAACTGTAATGGCATTACTGTAACCTCATTTCTGGTATTAGTAAATTGTGACTTTTCTCCTTGATTGGCCTGGATACAGATTAATCACTTTTCCTCATCTCAAAGCAGTGGCTCTTGTTGTCATTGATTTTTCTGTATTGTTTTCTGCTTTATATCTCATGGATTTCTGCTCTCATCTTTATTATTTCCTTTCTTATAACTCCGAGTTTTTCTGTTTTTCTTGAGATGGAGGGTAAGGTGACTGAAATCTTTCTGCTGCATTCCACAGTTAGTTTTTTTTGAGACGCAGTCTCATTCTTTCACCCAGGCTGGAGTGATGTGGCGTGATCTCGGCTCACTGCAATCTCCACTTCCCGGGTTCAAGCAAGTCTCCTGCCTTAGCCTCTTGAATAGCTGGGATAACAGGCACCTGCCACCATGCCTGACTAATTTTTGGATTTTTAGTAGAGATGGGGTTTTGCCCTGTTGGCCAGGCTGGTGTCAAACTCCTGACCTCAGGTGATCCACCTGCCTTGGCCTCCCAAAGTGTTAGGATTACAGGTATGAGCCACCGCGTCTGGCTCACAAATTTTAATATGCTGTGCTTTCATTTGTATTCATTTCAGAATACTTGCTAATTTCTCTTCTGTTTTGTTCTTTGACCTGTGGGTTGTTTAAAAGTTTGTTATTTGGCTTTCAAATATTTATGGATTTTCCAGATATCTTTCTGTTACTGACTTATGATGTAATCTCATGGTGGTCAGAGTTCACATTTATTGAGATTTGTTTTATGACCCTGAGGAAGGTTTGTCTTGGTAAATGTTCTGTGAGCGCAGAATAAAAGAATCTTATTCTGCTGTTTGGTGGTGGAGTGTCCTGTGAAGTCAATCAGTGTAAGTTGGTTGATATTAATCATATTAACCATTGAGGTCTTCTGCACCCTTACTGACTTGTGTCTACTTTTACTGTCAATTATTGGGAGAGTGTTGTTGAAATCTCTGACTATAATTAGGAATTTGCCTATTTCTCTTTGCACTTCTCTCATTTTTACTTCATGCATTTTGAATCTCTGTTATTATTAGGCTCTTAGGTATTTAGAATTGTTATGTTCCCTTGATGAACTGTCCTGTTTGTCATTATAAAGAGGCTTTCTATTCCTGGTAATATGCTTTGCTTTAAAATATACTTTGTTATAGCCACTCCAGCTTTCTTTTGATTTATATTAGCATGATACATAGGTTTTTCATTCTTTTACTTTTAGTCTTATTTATGATTTTATATTTAAAATGGGCATCTTGTAGACAGCATACAGTTGGGGTGTGTGTGTGTGTGTGTGTGTGTGTGTTTTATCTAATCTGGCAATCTCTACCTTTTAATTGGAGTTTGTAGACTTTACATTTAGTGTGATTATTCACTTGGTTGGGTTTAAATCTACTATCTTGTATTTGTTTTTCTTAACTGCTGAGACAAGACCCTTCTTAGTTCTCATTTTAAAATTAGGTAGTTAATTCAACAAATATTATATCTATGATGTACCGTTGTTAATTTGCACTTTTAAAATTAGTAGAGAAGGAAGACTTTGACTTCTGGCTCAAATGGAATAATAGTGACCAGATTTACCCTCCTGCCTGGTACAAACAAAAGTCCCGAAGAAACAAGACAAAATATAACAGTGAGTCTCATATACACCTGACAGCGGAGGACAGAGACCTAAGAGACTGGAGAAACCAAGGTGAGTCCTGCAGTTGCCCTGACTTACCATCTGGATGAAGCTGACAGTCTGCACAACAGGGAGCAGGGCCCGGGCAGGCGCGGCAATTTCTCTGAGGTGAGATGGAGCCGGTTGTCCTGGGAAGCTGAGGTGGCTGGAGTTTACAGCACAGAATGTCCTAAGAGACACTAACTAAGCAGAGGAGAGGCCAGGGCTAGAGCTCCGTGTGTGGGAATCGTCAGCATAGAAATAGTACTTGATGGTATGAGATTTCCTTGAAAGAAAGTACAGACAAGAGAGTTCAGGACTAACCCTGAATTTTTAGAGGTTGAGCAGGAGACTTGGAGAGTTGCAGGAGAGTTGGAGAGTCTCAGGAGCCAAGAGAACGGAGTTGCAAGGAACACGTCGTCAGCTCTTTTGAATACTGTGGAAAGACAGAATTAGATGATGATAGAAAATTGGTCATTGTGTTTGGAAAGATAATTTTGACAAGAGTTATTTTATTGGAGTGCTGGTTTTTCAGATTTATTGGTTTTTTAAAAGAAGCAGCTTTTGATTATATGGACTTTATATAATTTCTCCACACACATATATAGTTTAAAGTTTAATCATAAAGCCAGCAGCCACGTTACAACCTCCTAGTTTAAAATACAGGACATTTCTAGTAACCTGAAAGCCTCTTGGCTCTTTCTGATGATATTTCCTGCTCTCTGTGCAGGTTAATCATCTTATCTTTTGTGGCAATCACTCTCTTGCTTTTCCTTATAATTTTACCACCTGTGCGTATACTCCTCACAATAATGGATTCATTTTGCCTACACTTGAATTTTATGTTAGTGCCATCCTTCATATTTTATAAGTGAGGTCATACTGATACCTATAATTTGAAGGTATCACATTGATATCATGTCAGCTATAACTGACATTCACTCATTGATATGTACTATTCTGTTTTTTTTTTTATCATACCATAACTTCTTCAGCCATTCTACTGTTAATGGATATTTGGATTATTGGCAATGTTTGCCTGTTACAAGTGTTGCAGTGTGAACATTTCTTGGGCATATACGCAAGAGTTTTTCTAGGGTAAATACCCATGGGTAGAATTGCTAGGTCATAGGATATCGTCAACTTTACTGCACAGTGCCAAGCTATTTTACAAAGTGCCAAGTTACATTCCTACCACCAGTTCCTGAAAGTTACCAGTGCGCAGCATCCTGGAACATTCGGCATTGCCAGGCTTTAAAAGTTTTGCTAATCTGGCTACTGCATGATGGTATCTCATTGTGGCTTTAATTTTTACTTATTAAATACTAATGCGGTTGGACATGTTTTTATATATTCACTGGCCACTTGAACTTTTTATTTTTGAATTTCTGGTTCAAGTGTTTTCCACTTTTTGGAGGGTTGTTATTGATTTGTAGGGGTTACTTATGTATTTTATATACCGGTCTTTTGTTGGTTACATATATTCCACATATCTTTCAATTTCTAGCAAGATTTTAACTTTCTTTGTGTTGTCCTTTCTTGAACAGACATTTTAAGTTTCAATATAGATCTATCTATATTTATGTTTTTTTAAAAATGTTATGGTTAGCAAACGTGTATTTTTGCTTTTTAGTTTATTTTTGACTTTTATTTTAGTTCAGGGGGTGCATGTTCAGGTTTGTTACATGGGTAGATTGTGTGCTGCAGAAGTTTTAGATACAAATGATCCCATCACCCAGGTGGTAAGTGAGCATAGTAGCCAATAGGTAGTTTATCAGCCCACCCCCACCTCCTACCCTCCCACCTCAAGTAGCCCCCCGTGTCTATTATTCCCGTCTTTGTGTCCCTGTGTGTTATAAGCTCCTGCTTATAAGTGAGAACAGACGGTATTTGGTTTTCAGTTTCTTTTGTTAATTTGCTTAGGATAATGGTCTTCAGCTACATCCATGTTGCTGTAAAGGACATGATTTTATTCTTTTTTTGGCTGCGTAATATTCCATTGTCTACACATACCATATTTTCTGTATCCAGTCCACTGTCGATGGGCATCCAGGTTGATTCTGTGTCTTTGCTATTATGATCGTGCTGCAGTAAACACATGAGTGCGTGTGTTTTTGTTTGTTTTGCTTTTTTGGTGGGACGATTTATTTTCCTTTGGGCATATACCCAGTAGTGAGATCACTGGGTTGAATGGTAGTTGTGTTTTAAGTTCTTTGAGAAATCTCCAAACTGCTTTCCACAGTGGCTGAACTAATTTACATTCCCATCAACAATGTATCAGTGTTCCCTTTTCTCTGAACCCTCACCAACATCTGTTGTTTTTTGACTTTTTAATAATAGCTGTAATTACTGGTGTGAGATATTATCTCATTGTGTTTTTGATTTGCATTTCTCTGATGATTAATGGTGAACATATAGTTGTATGTTTATTGGCTGCATGTATGTCTTCTTTTGAGAAGTGTCTTTTCATGTCCTTTGCCCATTTTTTAATGTAGTTGTTTGTTTTTAACTTGTTGAGTTGTTTAAGTTCCGTATAGATTCTGGATGTTAGAACTTTGTCAGATGCATAGTCTGCTGATATTTTAACCCATTTTGTAGATTTTCTGTTTACTCTGTTGATAGTTTCTTTTGCTGTGCAGAAACTTAGTTTAATTAGGTCCCATTTGTCAACTTTTATGTTTGTTGCAATTGCTTTTGGGAGCTTAACTATAAATTCTTTGCCGTGGCCCATGTCCACAATGTTATTTCCTAGATTTTCTTCTAGAGTTTTTATAGTTTTAAGTCTTACATGTAAGTCTTCAATTAACCTTGATTTGATTTTTGTATATGGTGAAAGGAAGGGGTCTGGCTTCAATCTTCTGCATATGGCTATCCAGTTATCCCAGCACCATTTATTGAATAGGGAATCCATTGCATGTTATGGTTGACCTTGTCAAAGATCACATGGCTGTAGATGTGCAGCCTTATTTCTGGGTTCTCTATCCTGTTCTATTGGTCTATGTTTTTGTTTTAGCTTTCAACCCAGTACCCTGCTGTTTTGGTTACTGTAACCTCGTAGTACAGCTTCAAGTCAGGTAGTTTGATGCCCTACATATATACTTCCCATCACTGAAATCATGGAAGATAGCCTTCTATATTTTATTCTAAAACGTTAGTACAGGTTGGGTATCGTTATCCAATATGCTTGGGGCCAGAAATGTTTCAGATTTTGGATTTTTTTTTCAGATTTTGGAATATTAGCATTATATTTACCTGTTCAGCATCCCTAATTCAAAAATCTGAAATCTGAAATGCTTCAATGTACAGTGCATTTGAGCATCATGTTGGTGCTCAAAAAGTTTCAGATTTTGGATTTTCCAATTTGAAATGCTCAACCTATAGTTTTATCTTTAAATTTTGTTTTTAATCTACATGGGATTAATTTTAACATATGGAATGAGGCAGGAACCCATTTTCATTCATTTTTCATAAGTGTATCCAGTTTCCAAGCACCAGTAATTGAAAAGCTATATCTAAAGTACTGTTTCTGTCATAAAGCATGAATCTGTATATGTGTGTTTTTTCCCATTGATCAAATTGTCTTGCCCCACGCCACCACACCACTACAAGACTGTCTTAATTTCTATGGTTCTTATTCTTCAAGAATGGCTATATCTGACTTTTTCTCTTTCATATAAATGCTAGAATCTAGTTCTACCTGCCCCCCCGCCCCACCAACAAAATTGGTATTTTGGTTAGGATTGTAAGGCATCTGATATGGTTTGGATCTGTGTCCTCACTCAAATCTTATGTTCAGTTGTAACGGTCAGTGTTGGAGGTGAGGCCTGGTGGGAGATGATTGGATCATGGGGGTGGATCCTTCATGAGTGGATTAGCACCATCCCCTTGGTACTATTCTCCTGGTAGTGAGTGAGTTCTCACAAGATCTGGTTGTTTAAAAGTGTGTGCACCTCCCCCATCTCTTGGTCCTGCGCCTGCCATGTGAGACGCCTGCTCCTGCTTTGCCTTCCACAATGAGTAACAGCTCCCTGAGGCCTCCCCAGAAGCAGATGCTGCCATGCTTCCTGTACAGCCTAAGGAACCATGAGCCAATTAAACCTCTTTTCTTTGTAAATTACCCAGTCTCAGGTATTTCTTTATAGCAGTGCAAGAATAGACTAATATAAATTGAATTGGAGAAAGATGACATTATAATACTTATTCTACTGATCTATGAACATAGTATATCTCTCCATGTTTGCCTAGGTCTTTCTTAATGTCTCTCAAGATTCTATAAATTTCTACATGATGGGTTTGCACAATTTTTGTTAAATTTATTCTTAGGGACTTTATTTTCTTAACACCATTATAAATGGTATCTTTAAGGTATAATTTTCTACTTGTTGCTGATGCACAGAAATGCAATTACATTTTATCCTGTATTTTTTTTGAGATGGTGTCTCACTCTGTCACCCAAGCTGGAGTGCTGTGATATGATCTTGGCTCACTGCAACCTCTGCCTCCCAGGCTCAGGCAGTCCTCCCACCTCAGCTTCCCAGTAGCTGGGACCATAGGCATGTCACCATGCCCAGCTAATTTTTTGTATTTTTTGCAGAGACGGGGTTTCACCATGTTACCCAGACTGGTCTCAAACTCCTGAGCTCAAGTGATCTGCCCATATCAGCCTCCCAAAGTGCTTGGATTACAGGTGTAATCCACCATGTCTGGCCAATTAATTTTTTATATATTGATTTTATATCCAAAATTCTTGCTAAATTATCTTTGCAATTATCTATTAATTCTAGGAGCTTATCTGTTTTGTTCATTGGATTTTCTGTGTACCTAGTCTGGCTCTCCCAAGAAGGAGGTAGCAAGATGGAATTAGATTTATTAGGGAACACACCTGCAGGGGAAATGGGGAGGGGTTCAGTGGGGGTTGGGTAACCCAGCAGACCATGACTGAGCTCATATCCTCATGAAGAAGGGAGAGGAGGAGGAAGATTGGCACAAGGATCTGAGACTGCAGTGCAGTTCTGAGGATGTTTGGCAAAGCCAGTGGGGATCCTTGAGCTAAAGTTGTCTGTCAGAGGAGTCTCATGTCTTCCAGGATGGGCATGAACTGGGGGCAGCCCGTGGAGAGCATGGCCTCTGTCTGCATAGGGGCTGGGAGACCTCTGCATGTTCCTGGGCATAACAGCTGTGGCCTCAGATCTCATTCCCACAGATGAAGGTCTCAGCCATTTTCATGGCCACACAGACCTATTTCTCCAGACACATCTGGGGAGCAGCTCTTTAATGTTCCCGTGGGTCTCTCTTCCCGAGGCGAGGCTCTAAAGAGGGTGTGTGGGATGGCTGGCAGCCCTGGCCACTGTTTATGGGGCTGGAACTGGTGTTCCCCTCCTGCTCTGTTCATGTTAAATTCTCCTCACCCTTGGGGAATCTTTTGACTGGTGTTGGTGGCTTACCTCGTGGTGTAACCCGAACTTTCACTCTTAGGGTGCGAGAGTCTGAATCTTTGGTAATTCACCCCTTTCAGGCCAGGCTTGCTGCACAAAAATGAGACAAGGAAGTTCCAGGAGGCACCAGCTGGGATTGTCTGGGTCCCACGTGTGCTACTTCCTGTCCCAGCATGTCTGCCACCCTGCCTCTTCCCGTGCTCCTGCCAGGGTGGTGGCTCCTGGGCACAAGACGTATGGGTTCCCTGGCACAGCTGTAACCCGTGGTTCAGAGGGAACCTTGCCCTGGTAGGGGAGGTTTGAGTTGGGGGACGCAGTGCTATGGAGAAGCCTTTCTTAACTGGTGCACAGAGACCTGAGGAGTGGCACTGTCCTTGCAGGAGGCGCTGGAGAGATGCTTCAGCTGTACCTTGAGTCACTTGACCCGTGTTCTGGGTGGCCCATGTGCGACCCAGCCTGGAGGGACCGGCCCCTGCGTCCTCAAGGGTCACTTGCCTCCCAGCCGTGCAGCTCCTGTGCCCATCCAAGGCCTTGACCACATGGACTGAATGTTCAGGATCCTCAGGGGTCAAGCCAGAAATTTCCCATGTCCAGCAACTGAGGTTTGCTTAATAAACACCTGCACCACCATATAGAAATCAAAGGGAATTAGTAAATCCAAAGCTGTGGAAGAATACAATTGCTTCTTGACTTACCATGGGGCTTCGTCCAATAAACGTGCCTAAGTTGAAAACGTGTGGCCTAATCAGACACAGTGGCTCACGCCTGTAATCTCAGCACTTTGGGAGGCTGAAGTGGGAGGACGGCTTGAGTCCAAGAGTTTGAGACCAGCCTGGACAACACAGTGAGACCTCATCACCACAGAAAAAATGCATGGCTGCCTGGGGGCTGCCCAATATTGTGAGAGGACAGCTCCTACTGCCTGCTCATCCCTTTGCATTGTGGTGAGGTCAAAAATCCGACCTCAGGGACCTTCTCTATAGTGATATGCAGTGTGATGGGGGCAATATAAAATGGCTAAATAAACAGACCTCATACAGGAAGTGTGCTACATACCTCTTTCAGTAAAGAGGGACTCTTAAAAGTATATAAACTTTATATATGTAAAGTTACATACAAAATATATGAATTTTATTATATGTAAGTATATTTACCTTTGAATTGACCAATCAAGATAGAAAGACTAGAAAATATGCCCCAAAATAGCGAGAGTTCTCTCTGATTATAGAATTAGTCAGGATTTTTGTTTTCTTCTTTGTACTTTAAAAATTTTATTGTTTATGATGAATTGCTTTTGTAAGCCAAATAAAAATTAGAGAACTAATATATAGGTTCAGAAAAGCTAGGAGTGAAAGCAGCTGCTTTAGAGGGCTTTACTGCAGGTGTTGGGGGAGTGTCACTGGCGGGAGCCCTGAGCCACCACGCCTGAGAGTGGCGGGTGTGCCTCGGGCCATGTGGTGTCCCCCGAGCTGCGCCGAAGAACCAGCCACGTGCTTTCATCCCTGCGCGTTTTCAGCCTTTCACCTCCCCTGTGTTGAAAAACACCACAAGCTCTTCCCTAATTGTCCCCTGTGTTGCACAGTTTTGGGATCTTTAAGGACACATTTGAATCCTTGGAGAGCCTGTTCACAAGTCACCAGGTGCATTAAATTGGAGATTTGCAAGGAGCCCGGCGTCCTGACTTAGACCCTCGCCCCTAGCCATGTCCCCTGCTCTCTGTGGAGTCTGGCACAGACGCCGGTGTGGGATCTGAGCATTTGTTGGATCAACGGCCAGACACCTGCACATCCTGAAGGCACCCACAGTGTCAACTGTCTGGGGGTCCCGAGGGGTCAACAGCCTCACCTGGAATGGAGATCTCCTGCCTGTAGGGGTTTCCCAAGAATACAGAGGTGTCATTACCTCTGAGGTGCGTTTGGTTATTGTGGCCTCTCTGCAGTAGGGGACAATTTCCAAAATCGTTATCAACACCTAATACGCACCAGGCACTTCCTGCGGGTTACCTCTAGCTCTGACAGCCACCCTACAGCGTTTTTAAGATATCGTTCTTTTTTCATCTGAGGAGACCAAGGTTCAGGAGGTGAAGCGGACCTGAGTCACCCTCCTTCAGATGCAGTGTAAGACACCAGGCACCAAAGCTCCTCTCCCGGTCCAGCCAGAGAGGCCACCCAGGTGGGGCTGCGACCTGCTTGGGGCGCCCAGCCGCGAACAGGGGAGGGCTGCGGTCCAGCTCCTCTTGCCGGCATGGTGTCCTGCACGGAGCTGTCTGGACCCCACCGAGGTGGCCCACGTAGGGCCTGGCAGCTTCCAGCGCCCCTTCCTCCTCTGCTGGAGGTCTCGGCCCCTCCCCAGCCAGCGCCCGAGAGGAGTTGGGTTGCCTAAGCATGAACCCTGTTCCGGAAGCGAGGTTGGCGCGAACCCAATCCCCACCTGGGGCTCCTGGGGGAGGAGGTGCGGGAAGGGGAAGAGGAAGGGAAGTGAAAATTGCACAAAGATCTCTGCGCTCCAAAAATATACCTCTGCTATCTAGAAAATTGAGTAAAATGGGATGGAAATTTGGCTAAGTGATTATGGATATTGTTCTGTGGACGTGTTGCCAGGTGTCTCATAAAGAAGAGAAATAAATTTTTATTTCTCTGCCTTTACGCTGGGCTTAAGGTTTTAATAAGAATGCAGCGAGGGGATGTCGCGCAGCAGCTTGCCTGGAACTGAGATCATTGTTTCCGACAGAGCCTCAGGCCGCATTCCTCTGGCACAGGGGGGCCGGCTCCCCCCACACCGAGAGACCCCGGGGAGCCCGGGATGGGGGATGTAGACCGCGTGTCCGGAGTCCCATCCACCCGCGGCGTGTGGGTGGCGCTGGGCTGGTGTCCTGGGGGAGGAGGCCTGGGCACCCTGGAGGCCTCTAGGCCAAGCGGGCGCCTGTTTCAGTTTCTGCGCCCTCCTGGTGTGGGCCGCCCCATCCGCAGGCTGGAGAGAAAAAGCGCTTCCCGTGCACCCTGTCGCTGGGGTCCTGGGGAGAGGAGCTCCCGCTTCCACGTGGGGCTGTGCATGGAGAAGCTGGGAGGAGGCGCCGCTTCTGGGACCAAGTGGGGTGTCCGGTGTTCCTGGGGTGAAGTCTGCATCCCACGCCTGGGTGTCTAAGGGCTGAGTTGAGTTGGACACCCGGGTGGAAGCAGCTCTGAACAGTGGTGCAATGTTGTCCTTGGAGCCATTTCACCTTGGGTCCTGATGTGGCCCCTAAGAGAAAGTGCCTAATGTCAAAGCCCGTGCTTTAGGGGGGCCAGGAGGCCTCTGGGTGCCTCAGCACCCACAAGGTGCAGTCCAGAGATTCCGGACGGGGAGACTCAGGGCTGCCTGTCTTCAGCCCAGTGATCTCTGGTGCAGCCCGTGTGTCAGAGGGACAAGAGGCGCACATGCCAGGAAGGGTCCCGAGGGAGGGTGGGGTCCCCTGGCCTCCGAGTTAGCAGGGCCTCACTCCACCGTGCTTTCTGCACACTTCAGTGTGGCCCTTTCTCTGTGCCTGACTCACCAGGCTTCCTTCGGTGTGTGTGTGCATGTTCACATGTGTGTGCACATGGATGGGGCACTGTCTGTGCCTGTGTGCATGCCTGTGTGCCAGCCTGCTCTGACATTTACGCTTGTGAAAACTGAGGTATGAGAAATGCGCGATTCGGCTGCTCTGACAGATGCAGGCTCCCCGCCACCCACTTCCCTGAGCCCCAGGAAGCTCCCTTTGTCCCCCGGCCAGAGCCACAGTGGAGCTGGTGTCTAGCAGCACAGGTGAGCTCTGCCTATCCCTGAACTTCCCGCCTGCCACACGTGCCCTCCGTGCCTGGCGCTCTGCTCTTCAGAGTCCTCCTGGTGCCCCGTGTCTCCGCTCGCGGGTTCTTGTGGGCGGGTGAGGTGCATCCCATGTGTGAAGGTACTACAGCTTATCCACTCCTCTCGCCAGACACCAAGGCTGTTTCCAGCCTCTGGCTATTTTTTAATGTGTTATTAATAAACATGCCATGAACGTTTGTGTGCAAGTTGTGTGTGCACATGTTTGAACATCTCTTGGATAAATGCTTGAAGTGGAATTTCTGGATTGTGTGCTAAGCGTTATATTTAACTTTATAAGCCACTGGCAAGTGGGTGTGGAAAGAGCTCACACCTTTCTGCATTCTCACCAGCCGCTCGTGGGTTCTGGCGGCTGCACGTCCTTACCAACATTTGGAGTTACCAGCCTTTTTCATTCTGGCCATTTCAGGGACGTGAGGCGGTGTCTCGCGTCCCCCACGCCCACCTGGTGGCTGTGGCTCCAAACGCCTTTCCTGGGCTTGCTGGCCGTTTGCTTGTCTGCTTCGTGAAGTGCCTCTCAAGTGTGTCGCCCTCTGTTATTGGGCTGTTTTTCGTCTTCATTGGATCGTAGGTGATCGTTGTAGATTCCGGCTGCAAGCCTTCTGTCAGATATGAATTGCAAATACTTCCTCCCTATTTATGGCTTGCCAGTTTAATTTTTAAAAGCTTCCTCACTTTGAAACAATCTCAAACTTACAGAAAAGTGGCAAGTACAGTAAAATAACTTTTTCTTGAAGGATTTAGTGATAAGTTGCAGACCTGTCACCCCATCACCCCCATGTTTTTCAGTTTGTTTTTCCTACAAACAACGATGTTCTCCTACGTAACCACGTCACAGCCAGCAGAACCCGGAGTTGAACACGGATCGACTGCTTCCCTGACAGCCAGACCTCACTCTGCTTCTGCCCTCTGTCCCCAGCAAGGTCTTAGACTGCAATTAGATGGCGAGTGGCTCAGTCCAGATCACACCCCCACGAGTCGGCAGGCGCCTGGTTCTCGCTCAGTCTGGAGGTTAGCGGTCTTGCCTTGGCTTTTCTGGCCCTGAAACTTTTGAAGAAGATAGACAGTTATGTTGTAACTTTTCCCTCAGTTTGGATTTGTCCAATGTCTCTTCACCGTGACATTCAAATTATGCACCTGTGGCAGCAAAATTGCCGAAGTCATGTGGTGTCCTTCCTGTGCCCTGCTGTTGGGTGGTGCCTGAGCTCAACTACAACTACCCAGTGAGGCGCCTGCCAGATGTGTCCACTGTGAGCTCAGTCTTTCCCTCTTTGAAACTAACAGCCTTTGGGGGGTGGATTATGAGAATACGTAAATATTCCATTCCTCATCAACCCTTCAGATCATTTATTTATTTATTTATTTATGGAGACAGAGTCTCGCTCTGTTGCCCAGGCTGGAGTGCAGTGGCACGATCTTGGCTCACAGCAACCTCTGCCTCCTGGGTTCAAGCAATTCTCCTGCCTCAGCCTCCCAAGTAGCTGGGATTACAGGGGTATGCCATCATGCCCAGCTAATTCTTGTATTTTTAGTAGAGATGAGGTTTCACCTTGTTGGCCAGGCTGGTCTCAAACTCCTGGGCTCAAGTGATCCACCCACCTTGGCCTCTCAAAGTGTTGGGATTACAGGCATGAGCCACCACGCCTGGCCTATGTAATTATTTTTATCAGGGTAGATTCATGGTTTTCCATTTTATTCAATGGGATATAATCTGTTACCTTCACTAGTTTTTTTTCATGCTGAAATTCTCCCATATTTGGCCCGCAGGAGCCCCTCCAGCTGGCTTCCATGCCCTCTCCCCATGATGCTGTGGCTGCTTGAGTCCTGCCTAACTTCTGACGAAACACAATATTCCAGGCTTCTCTGGTGCCTTCCCTGCCCCTGCCCTGGGATCCACCATTTCTCTCCAAAGAGCCCTGGGTCCTGTGAGTGGAGAATGGCACCCAAGACCTGGGACGGTTTTTGCTTCAAGTGTTAGAGAGCTTTCTTATGGGATGCACACATTTAAGATTCTTATGTCTTCTTGATGAATCGACCCTTTTATCATTAGAAGCTGCCCCTCCCTTTCTCTTAAACCATTGCATTTAAGGTCTGCTTTAGTATTAATAAAGCTACGGCAGCTTTCTTTCACTTAGTGTATACAGGGTATATCTTTTTCCAACATTTTACTTTTAACTTCTTTGTGTCCTTAGGATTAAACTGTGTTTTCTATAAACAATATATAGTTGGTCTTTCATTTTTATTAGTTTTATAATATCTACCTTTAAACTTGTGTATTTAGTCTACTTACATACAATATCAATATATTTGGGTTTGATTCTACCATATTTCTCCACATTTTCTACATATAAATCATCTCTTCTGCCCTTTCTTGATCTGTGCCTTTTCCCCTGCCAAGGTGAATTCTGTAATTTTGGTTGGTATTGAATCTTATTTCCTCCATTGATCTGGTGTTTTTGCATCATCCTTTTTTTTTAGTGCTTGCTCCAGATATTAAAATGTACATCTTTGTCAACCTCCATCTTAAAAAAAATCTACTACTTCATAAATAGTGTAAGCAATTTTTCAATAGCATAATCCCTTTGTACATTTTGTCTTTATTTCTACAGATATTGTAAACAGCAAATTACTTTTTAATTATTTTTACTTTAAACAATCAATAGCCTATTCAACACACGTATATATGTTTGGGAGAAAATGTAAATGCAGAGAAATAGAGAACATATATATACATATACATATACGTACAAATATTTTTAAGGTATTTTGTATTTAACATGATACAAAATTTTGTTAGTGTTTATCATGTCTATCAGGTATAATTTCTCATCAGACTAAAGGACTTCTCTTAGCATTTTGGATAATGCTATTCTGGAGATAAAGTCATTCAGCCTTCACCTATCTGAGGATGTCTTTGTTCTAAAGAATATTTTTACTAGATCTGGAAATCTAGGTTGATGCTTTCGTCACATTAAAGATGATGTTTTCTCATCTTCTGGCCTCCTTTGTTTCTGATGGGAAGTTGGTGGTGTTCTCATCTTGTCTCGCTGTGTGTGCCATGTCTTTTTGCCTCTGGCTGTTTTCAAGACTTGCGCTTTCTGGGTTGCCTTCGGCAATCTGACCATGATGTGCCTTGGAGTGCTTTCTTTGTAGTTTCCTACTTGGAGTTGCCAAGCTTCTTGCATTTGTGGTTCTCTTATTTTTTCAATGTCCTTGCCCATTATTTTTTCAGAGAGTTCTATGCCCCATTCTCTTTCTCCTCTCCTTCTGGAACTCCAGTAACATGTACACTTGCTATTATTCTTCACCCACAGGCCTCCAATGCTCTGTTTTTTTCCCTCCCTCACTCTGTTTGTCCCTTTTCATCAGCTTGGGTAATTTCTATTCATGTCTTCAAGGTCACTGATTCTTTCCCGTGCTATCCACAGTCTGCAGAGGCACCCGTAAAGAGAGCTCTGACCTGATACAGCGTTTTCACTTCTAGTATTTGCATGTGTCTGCTGTCACCTTTTTTCCCCTTGATTTTGTAACATATTTAGCATTGTTGTTTTAAGGTTTTTGTCTGAAATTCCAGTATCTGAGTGATTTCTAGGTTTGGTTCTGTTGGCTGTTTCCTCTCTTGATGGTGGGTGGCATTTTCCTGTTTTCTGATGTGTCCTGTCGTGTTTGGTTGACTGCTGGAAGCCTGTTTGTTGGCATGCGTATGCCGCCCACACCCAGGCTGCGGCCTCTTCTTGCCAGTCTGTACTGCAGTGGGTTTGGTCAGCCTATTCTGTAGCTGAGCTGGGTTTGGGCTTTACTGTTAATTTAGTAAGATTCTGTTCACCACAGACTTCATGTGATTTGAAGGCCAAATCAGAACTCTCCTTTTCTTGGGCTCAGGTGCCTGTGGGCTCCATCTTAGCTCCCCTGCCTTTCCTTGGGTGTCGTCTGGCTCCTGACATCTGCACCTGGGGGAACCCTCCACCCCCTCCCCCTCCCTGTGGTAAACGCCCCCTGCTTTGTACTCAGTGCAAGCCCTGGGGTGCCTCTGGGGCTTCGCTCGGCCTTGGTCCCTGCCCTTAGACTGCAGCAGGCTTCGTGTGCCTGCGCCCGAGAGGTGGGGCCCTCTGCTTCCCTGTCTCTCTGCAGGCTTCATGCGCCTGCCCCCGAGAGGTGAGGTCCACTGCTTCCCTGACTCTCTGCAGGCTTCATGCGCCTGCGCCTGAGAGGTGGGGCCCTCTGCTTCCCTGTCTCTCTGCAGGCCTCAGAAGAAGGCATGGGGTGTATGAAGGGCTCGTCCCCCTTCTGCTGCACCCTTGCTCCTCAGTAGGCCTTTCATCCCCATGTTTTGGAGGGCATCTCTCAGCCTTCCGCCATATACCCCATCCTTCTTAAGGGCACCTGGAGAAGGACCATGAAAAATCCCTGGAGGTGGGGGTGGGTTCTCCTGCGTCCAGACTCACAGGCACTCTAACGCTAATGCCACCCCACATTCAGCCTTTACACATTTGTCAGAAGCTTATCTGTTGTCTTCTTCTTTGTGTCCCTGGAAGCTTCCACCTCCCCCATGGCTGGTCCGTGGCTGATGGCAGCTGTGGGCACTTCTTGGGAGGCTGCTGATCCGTGGATTCAGCTCACTGGGCTTCTGTCCAGTTTCAGGTCTCCGATGAGCTTTTAAAAGATGACAATTTTTAGATTATCTAAGTTTTTCTCGCTTTATGGAGGGAGCCACATTTCCTGTGCCATCTGCAACCTGAGTGGGAACAGAGCATCAGTGTCTTCTTTCAGCTGGCAGGATCCTCAGAGGATCTCGTGAGGAGATGGGACGGTGTCCTGACTCTCCTCTGTGAAGCACAGAGTTTTGAAGGTCAGCTCATGGCCAAGCACTGTAAAGAGTTGCCAACAGTTACACATTTCATTTTACAAAAGAACAAAGGCTCCAAATTTGCCAGTATTCCCTGTGATGATAAATGGCTATCCATAGTATGCTACTGATCAAATATTTTCAAAAATATTAAAATGCTCAACCCCTTCAAGGTAGAACCTCGCTAATAATGTTTTGACAATGAATGAAGCAGCTACCTTTCAAAAGAAATGCATCTGTGGAGAAAACATTTTTGAAATGAATGTTCAAAAATGTGGTTTTATTATGTGGTTTTGTGGCTAAGAGTGATGTGTCACCTTTTTTTAAGTTTGATTTAAATCCTTAAGAAACTTGAAAAAATAGTTTTCAAACTTGTTTAAAAATATACCAAGAAAGGGATTCCAGTTGATTGGCCCTATTTGTTAATATTATTGAAATTCAATACATCCTAATTAGCCTGGACGAACAGCTGATTGTCATCATGGAGTATAGAAACGTACAGCCCAAATTTTAACAAAATCCTGGGCAGAGTTGGTCACTGGGATTGAATAATACACAGCACTGTTTAGAAGTATAGCAATGATGTGCTTCTCCACTGTGATGAATGTATCCTTGTGAGGAATCATTTTGAAGAATCATTTTTCAGATGTCATAGTCATTAAAACTGAGTATCAAAATTAATTAAACTTAAATGTCACTTCAGATAGTTGCACTGCAAAGTGTTAAGCCAAGGGTTTCCTAACAGCATCCAAGCCAAGAACCAAATCAGGGGCATAATCCCATTCACAATTGCCACAGAAAGAATAAAATACCTAGGAAGACTTTAGCTAACCAGGGAGGTGAAAGATCCCTACAAGAAGAACTACGAAACACTGCTCCAAGAAATCGGAGAGGATACAAACAAATGAAAAAACATCCCATGCTCTTGGATAGGAAGAATCAATATCATTGAAGTGGCCATACTGCTCAAAGCAATGTACAGAGTCAGTGCTATTCCCATCAAACTACCAATGACATTCCTCACAGAACTAGAAAATCTATCCTAAAGTTCATATTGGAGCCAAAAAAGAGCCTAAACAGCCAAGGCAATCCTAAGCAAAAAGAATCAAGCTGGAGGAACCACATTACCTGACTTCAAACTATACTACAAGGTTACAGTAACCAAAACAGCATGGAACTGGCACAAAAACAGACACGTAGACCAATGGAACAGAATAGAGAGCCCAGAAAGAAAACCACACACCAGCAACAATCTGATCTTTGAAAAAGTCAGCAAAAACAAGCAAGGAGGAAAGGAATCCCTCTTCAATATATGGTGTTGGGAGAACTGGCTAACCATATGCAGAAGATCAAAGTTGGACCCCTTCATTACACCATATACAAAAATCAACTCAAGATGGATTAAAGACCTAAATGTAAAACCTAAAACTATAAAAACCCTGAAGATAACCTAGGATATACCATTTTGGACATAGAAACTGGCAAGGATTTCATAACAAAAAAGCCAAAAGCAATTGCACAAAAGCAAAAGTAAACAAATGGGACCTAATTAAACTAAAGTGAAAAGAAACTACCAACAGAGTAAGCAGAAAACCTATGGAATGGGAGAACATATTTACAAACTATACATCTGATAAACATCTAATATCTAAATTATACAAGGGACTTAAACTAAAGTACAAGCAAAAACCAAATAACTCCATTAAAAAGTGGGCAAAGGACATGAACAGACACTTTTCAAAAGAAGACATATACTTGGTCAACAAGCATATGAAAAATCATCAGAGAAATGCAAATCAAAACCACAATGAGATGCCATCTCATACCAGTCAGAATGGCTATTATTAAAAAGGCAAAAAAATAGCATGCATGCTGGCGTGGGTGTGGAGAAAAGGGGACACTTATACATTGTTGGTGAGAGTGTAAATTAGTTTGGCCATTGTGGAATGCAGTGTGGTGATTCCTCAAAGAACTAAAAAAAGAACTACCATTCGACCCAGCAATCCCATTACTGGGTGTATACCCAAAGGAATATAAATCGCTCTAACATAAAGACACATGCACACGTATGTGCATTGTAGTACTACTCACAATAGCAAAGACATGCAATCAACTTAAATACCCATCAATGAGAGACTGGATAAAGAAAATGTGGTACATATAAACCATGAAATACTATGCAGCCATAAAAAGGAGTGAGATCATGTCCTTTGCAGGAACATGGGTGGAACTGGAGGGCATTATCCTTAGCAAACTAACACAGGAACAGAAAACCAAATACTGCATGTTCTCACTTATAAGTGGGAGCTAAATGATAAGAACACATGAACAGAAAGAGGGGAACAAAAGGCTCTGGGGCCTACTTGACGGTGGAGGAAGGAGAGGAGCAGAACGAAAACAAACAAAAAACAGCTATTGGGTAGTATGCTTAGTATGTGGATGACAAAATAATCTGTACACCAAACCCCTGAGTCATGAGTTTACTTATATATCAAACCTGACATGTACCCTTGGACATTAACCTGCACATGTACCCCTGAATATTGACTTTTAATACTTAAAAGTTAAAATAGTAAAAAAAAGGAAATCAAATGTTTCAGAAATAATTAAGCAAATCAAAGCATGGAACTCTCTAAAATCATTATTATTTATACCATATTTTAGTGAGAGCAGGAAATGATTGACGATTCCAAAATTACACAGAAACTTTTCTTTTATATAATTCTTATCTCATCCTTCAAAAATGTCTTTTTGTTATGTGATGTGTATAACATAGTAACAGTTCTTGTACACAACTTTTAAATACGTGTGCATGCTCATTGGGATTCACGTTCCGAATTTCAAAACGTAGTTCTTGTTTCAGGAAGTTCAGAGGTTACTCTTTTGGAAGATCCATTCTTGGATGTGCTGGCAAAAGCACTGTTGTAGAGATGCTTTTGGGGGAGGCTGCACATCATTCATGAATAAGTCCCAAAGGCAGCATTTCTAATAATGCGTTGTCTAATATGTATTAGAGCTGGCTTGGAGGTGTCCCTGGGGAGCCCCTCTTTCCTTCGCATCCATCCCGGAAGCTCCTCGAGTGGAGAGAGTCGAGGGTCGGCAGGAAGACAGCAGGAAGTTGAGAAGAGCAGCATCCATCATGTGTCACTGCTGAAAAATAAAAAGTAAACACCAAAGCCGAAGACCATCCTTTGAAGCCTGAGTCAGGCCCAGGACCTGGGGAGGCTTATGAAACTCAGGTGCCCCGGCCCCGCCCAGAGCTTCCGGCCCAGCAGGTCTGGGTGGAGTTGGAGAGTCTGCATTTCCGAAAGGTGCCTCTGAAAGGGATGTGGTGCCGTCATCCCTCTGGAGCTTTGAAGCCATGCAGCCGGACTTCAGCAAGAATGGTTGCATGGACTGTTCAAACCCGCACCTGCCGGCCAGCGGCTGAAGAGCCCGTGTTGACCATAAGGGACAGGAAAGGGAGCACTCTCTGCACAGCCTCGGGGCCCTGCTGTGGCCCTTACCTGGGAGGGCTGGCCTGGCGCAGGCACAGGCTGCTGAGGACCAGCTGCTGGCCGGCCCTGCCCGACCAAGGCCACCTGTGTTTTCATTCCCAAATTTATTTTCTGGTTATAGGGACAATGTCCCTATAACCAGAGTGGTATTAATGTGTAGGTGGCACAGTTGTGTACTTATGGGTGTGGTTTGGGGAACTCTGTCTTAAAAATGCCCTCCTGACTGTCTTGGTGCCTGCTCCTGGGTGCCCCAGACAGGGGTTTTCCGGTGGCTTCAGGCTGCGTGGCCCAGTGAAGCCGGTGCTCACCACGTGGCCACGGCCGCTCCAGGTAGAGATGTGCCGTGGGTGTAAAAGTAAATATCTTATTAATGCGTTTTTTCTACTGATTACTTATTGAAATGGCAATGTTTTAGATATATTGGGTTAAATAAAATAGTAAAACAAATTTCTCCTATTTATTTTCACTTTGTAAAAATGCGACTCCCAGAACATTTGCAGTTCTGTGTGGCTTGTGTCTGTGGCTCGCACAGTTCCTTGCACAGCACTCATTCCCTCTGAAGCAGACAAGATGCGTGGACTTCGAGGAATGTCCCCTCCTCTCCTGCTCCCCGTCCTGTCCCCGTGCCTTCCCAGGCCCCTCCCCTCTTTGTCTTTTCCTTGCCTTCCTTGTGGATGAAGTTCAGGGTGTCAGGGAGAAGCCTGGGACCCCTGGCCCTCGCGGATCTGCAGTCGAGGGGGCTGTTTCCTACCCCATTCGCTGTCCTCCTTCCTCTTTCTGTAGCAGAACCCTGCATTGATTTGGGGCAGCAACGAGCCCCAGTGAAAGCCTGGTTTTCTAATCTGTTTCACCTCTAGGTATTGCCGCATGACTCGCAATGAGCGGTAACTAGACACTGTGTGAAGGAATTCCTCTAGTGGATCTCTAGTCTCATGCTCTTCTCTCCATCTTCATCCTTCCAGCTGCTGGGAATGTGGTCATGAGGCTGGAGCTTAGGCAGCCTTCTTGACCACAGGAGGCCACTCCCAGAGAGGGGAGGCACCGTAATGGGAGGAGCCCTCATGTGGGCATTACCTGCCTGCCTCTGGTTTCTTTCACACAATTGAGAAACGGACTGCTTTCTTGGGTAGCCCTGTTCTACGCGGCCAACTCAGCCTTGACTTTTTTGCCCCTCTTGGTCTGGGTTCTTGCAGGGAAGGTGTCCACAGTCACTCCATGCAGTGACTCGCCTGCAGCTGTGGCAGCCGGGGCTCCACCCACATCTCTGAGATGCCCGCACTGTCGCATCTTGTCATTTGTCTGCTTACACACCTGTCCTTATGTGAGACTGCCGGCTCCTTGAGGACAAGAACTTGGAGTTGCTTCCATGTTTCCTGTTGCTAAACCAGGTTGGCATAAAGTGGGTGCTCAGCAGATGTTTACTGAGCCGAATCCCATGTACCTACAGGCTCCAAGGTTCCCGCTGTGATCATTCAAACTTATGGATCTCCTTTGAGGGACAGCTGGAAGTTGTTTACAGAATCAGACATGGAGACTTTCTCCTTCAGACGGAATCTAACTGGTCAGTTTTAAAGCTGTGGCATTCCCTGGCGGGGCCACTGTGCTAGTTCTCCCCATGGCGGGCTTTATAGGAAGGCCCCCTCTTCACACAGAAGCCGGGAAGGCGTGCCTCGGTAAGGGTATAGCCCTGAGTGTCTGCACCCCCCAAAACCCCTGCTCCCTGCTCGTGTGTGACAATCTGACTTCAGACAGTTAATCTTTCTGGCTCAAGCATTTGGAATGGAGATGGACTGAACCCACTGGGCGTTTTAGTTGCATGTAAGCCGCACTCCGGGCTGAGCTTGCCGAGCTGACTTCACTGTCTGGGCTGCCTGCCTGGGGTGCTGGGAGCCAAGTGCCCATTTCCAGAAGCTCGCTGTGCTCCCCCAGGTCAGCTCCTGTCTGCCTCACCTCACCGTGGTCTCCTTTTCCTAATGCGTGATGGAGACCAGCGTCGTGTGGCATCCATGGACCCCATCGAGGACCTTTTGATCAGTGGTGGGGTTGGGATGGGGACAGGAGGTGGTGGGGTTGGGATGGGGACAGGAGGTGAGCTGCTCATGGTGTTGATTTCTTCTCCTCGCAGACACAAGGAGATTCAGAGGTCCTGTTTGTGCCTCTGTCTGCTTTTTCTTCCTGGAAATTTTCTTCCTGGGATTCAGGACCTGAGGAAGGTCTGGGTGTGGCCTCAGCTTTGGGCCATGAAACCCATCTGGACAGATCAGGCTGACCTCTGGGAAGCATCTGTGTGTGGTTTAGACAGGGAGAGAAGCTGGATGGAGGGGAGTGGTGCTGAAGTGGGTTGAGCCAGTGGGGGTCAAGCGGCTAAGCTCCAGAGGGGGGTCTGGGCTGCAGGCGAGGAGGCTTCCTGGGGTCCTCAGGCGGCCCCTGCACCCCCAGCTCAGTGGGCCTGGCGAGGAGGCTTCCTGGGGCTGTCAGGCGGCCCCTGCTCCCCCTGCCTCAGTGGGCCTGGCTGTCCCCTTAGCACAACGGCGAGTTCCAACACTGGATCCCTGGGAGAGCATCTTTTGTTTGCTTTTGTTTAGTTTAAAAATAGATATATTAGGAATCAAGATGAGATGAGGTTAGTCCCCAAAGTTAAATTCCTCTTCCTTGCCTTTGAGCTGTGCCATTCCGAACGCGTCTCCTTTAGTCCCCCTAGGATCCGGTCTGGGCTGGGCTTGCGGATGCCAGGCCCCCCCGATCCACCGTGTCAGGGCCAGCTCCATCTGTCCTGTGTCAGTGGGGTCCTCAAACAGGATTTATTTTAAATCATCACTGCAGGAGATAATCTATTTTCCATAATAATCTGCAGGTAGCTTTACTAATTTCCTCTGGAGCGGGGATGGAGGCTCGCCTCGCTTCCGAGAGGCTGGGGCCGCGCCTGGCTGCACTGATGCCTTATCGCCCGTGTCCTCACGCAAGGCTTCACTTTGGTGTCAGGATCTCGGGGGCTCAGAAATGCGGGTTCATTGTGGGTGGAGGGTAAGCCCTTCCTCAGCAGGTCATGACCAGAGGTGGTCGGACGGCAAGGACTGCTCTCCAGGCACGTCCAGCAGGGACAGTGCGGCCGGGCCCTCCCCTCGGCCGCTGGAGGCTGCAGCCCTCAGGTTTCTGGCAGTGACAGGCGTCCTCCAGGGAGGGTCTGAGTCGCACCCTCCACATTGGCTGAGGACCCAGCTCATGCTGTGGGAGAGGAGGAAGCTTCCATGGCTCCAGGACTGTCTTCCTGAAGGAAGTTCGTGGGGGTGGGTGGTGGAAGGGGGTCCGGCCCTAATGGGGCTCCCGTTGTCCCTCAGCACGGCCTCTGCTGGGGGTGGTGGCCTGAACCCTCACTCCAGGGGCCCAAGCTCCAGGTAGACGTGCCCAGCTTAGCTGTGTGGTTGCCCTTGGGAACCACAGTGGGTCGGGAATCAGGCGCCCCAGGGATGTCTGGCTCTACACTGTCCCTCCCTCCCACAGCACAAGGCCTAGTCCCCTCCCTGCCCTGCCCAGAGCCCCCAGTTCCTGCACTCGCGACCCAACTCCTTTGTCCCCACTGACTCCTTTGTCCCCACCTTTACAGACTATCCCTGTCCCTCTGGCGACCCCGCTTGTGCCTGCTGCTTCCTGCTGTTATCCCTCCCGGTACCACATTCTAATCACTTGCGATTAGATCGGCACTCAGGCCTCTGGACACCCGAGCATGACTTCTGGGACAAGCTGTGTCTTCTCCCCCAACCTTTAAAAATGTGAACCATGATTCAGGTGGTGAATAAAAGCTGGCACGGAATTAAGCGGTGGATGGATGCGACATCTTTATCGCTGTGTCCTGATTGTGGTGCAGGACGGTCCTCGCGGTGCCGTGGCTGTTTCTGTGGCGGTCGTCGGCGCACTGTGGTGGTGACTGTGGCTCACATGCACCCTTGGAGGCCCTCGGAGGTGGCACCACATCTGCGGACACAGCAGCCCCGGTGGCCTCACCCTCTCACTGAGGATTCCCGCCATCACCTGGCGACATCCCCTGAAGATTCTTTTTAAGAAGTCTGTGCCCTACACGGCAACATTAGGCTGTAGGCGTCACGCTCCTGTGATTGTGAAGTCAAGCGACCGCGGCGTCAGGCGGGGCTCCGTGCTGTGAGTGTGGCCAGGCTTGCAGCTGTCAGTGCTGGGGAGAAGTTCAGGGGTCCGGGCATCTGGGCGGTCCTTCTCTGATGCCACATCCTGGGAATGGAACTCCCTGAATGGAGGGGCTTCTCTCCGTTTTCTCGGGGCAGTTTTGTGATCGGCATTGGCCTTGTGTTCCTTCCTTCCCTCACTGATGTGCACCCGACGCCTGCATGTGGACTGACGGCCTGGGGTCAGGACGCTGCTGGGGGTCAGGGGTGTGTGGTGGGCTGTGGCGGGGTGTGGTGAAGCCTGCCTGGCCTCGAGCCCGGTGGAGGCTCTGGGAAGCCCCCTGCTTCCTAGTCCTGACGGGGGCCGGTCTCCACCTTCCTTTGGTGTTCCAGAGACCTGAAGCGGAGGGGCCAGTGTGGCTCCAAGGTGGCCGGGGCTGTGCGGTGGGCTCCGGAGCCCCCGAAGCACTCTTTTTCTGCAGAACCGCATCTGGGCCTCCGGAAGGAAGCTGCAAATGAACCGGCAGCAGCTTCCCCGATGGCCCTGTCTTGGCAGCCCTCATCCGGGCAAGGACTCTGTGGGAGAGCAGGGCCACTCTCTGTGATGCCACCGCCGGGATGGCTGAGCTCCAGCGTGGTGCCCGTCCTGGGTCTGAGGGCCCGGCAGCCGCCCTTCCGTCTGCTGCCAGGAGTGTGTGTGCCCAGCACTGGAGAGCAGTGAGAGGCACTGGTTTCCCAGCACACAGTGTGCGCCTGCCCGCTCACTCTCCCGGCTCCGTGTGTGCGCCCCTCATCAGCCAGGTGCTCGCTTTCCCGGCTCTGTGTGTGGGGCCCTCACCGGCCAGTGTGTAGCTGCATGGTGTTTCTGGGGGGCTGCTGGCCTGCCAGGCATGGCCTCTCAGTGGCCAGCATGGGGTCTGGGGGTGGTCTGGGATGGCCAGGCGAGGGGCTAGGGGCTCGGGGGCAGCTGTCAGCCCTTGGGTGTCACCCTGCACTTCCTGCCCTGTGGCCACATCCTCCCACCCTCTTCTCTGTACATCACGCTGAAGAACAAACAAAAAATCTCACCAAACGCGTGTTGGAGGTGGCCAGGCTGGCTCCATTCCGGGGGCCCTGGTGATAGGTTTCAGGATGGCAGCAGCAGGGCCGTGGGATGGGGAGAGTGGACTCAGCTCCTACCGCCGTGAGGATGGGGAGGGAGGGGACAGGACGTGTAACCGTGGACGAGGAAGGGCCAGGGATGGAACACCGTGAACAGGAAGCATCAGGGTGAGGGGCTCCGACAGATTTGATAGGACCACGGCTGATGGCCGGCAGGGCTCCCATGACGCTGATGTGCCGGTATTTTCACCCAGTGGAGCGGCTCCCCCTCACGAGGACAGAGCGGGAAGCCCCAGGTCAGGCCTCATTAGAAAGGGCTCAGGAGCCAACTGAGTGTAGGCCAAGGAGAGCCTCTGTGGGCCGACGTGCCCACCTCCATCGTCAGCCAGGGCCTGTCCATGGCACCAGTCCCCTGCCAGCCTCCTGATGCTCTCCAGGCGGGCAGGGGCCTTTCGGGCCAGGGGAAGAAAGTGACACCCGCCCTTCTGTGCCTGGCTTTGGGTCACCTGTCCCCGTTCCAGGGCAGCGTGGCACAGGTCTGAGGGCTCTGCTGGTCACTCAGCCCCTGAGGCAGCCCCGCCAGCCCAGGCCCGAGCACCTCTTCCCTCCAGGCTGGGCACAGCCAGTCCCCACCTCCCACCTTCTGCCTCCGCCAGTCCCGGGACATGGAGTCACACCTTGGAGGAGATTCACACTGTGTCATCAGCTGGCGCGCAGGTGACTCCGGAGCGCGGATCGTGCCAATCGGCCCAGGGAGGCTCCGCGCCGTCACCATCTCTCCCCACGCCCTCCGCCCATCCCTGTCCACCCCCTGACCCACACACCCTCGGCTCTAACCCGGGATTTCGGGTTTTGCTGCCATTTAGAAATGACATTCTTACTTGTTGAATTCTAAAATGGAAGCAACACAGCTGTCTAGTAAATCAAATTTAGTGAATAAACGAGCCGTTCTTGTTTAGTATTGTCTTTAGGTCTTATTTCTCATGTCTCCTTTCATTAGAGGTTTTCATTGTAATCTCTTCGGCTCAACAAAGACAACCAAATCTGCCCTGTTAATTTTGTAATTGAGGTCTATGCAAACATATTGCCATAGCCATGGAAAATGTTTACTCTTTTTCAGCTGAACACACAGTACATTTTTAGTTGAATAAGATCCAACTGAAAGGCATAAATCAAGCGTTTAAAAATAGAAAGAGGATCGCAAAGCCTAGTATGTCAATATGCTCGTCAAGTGTTAATGCAGAAAGGCAGAGTTAGGCGGCCCCGGGCGCTGGAAACTGCGTTTGACCTCCTCCCTGCCCCTCTGCGTCTACAGTTCAGTTCTCACAGAGGCCTCTGGCGGGAGGAGCCACCATTTAGAATACAGATGGCCAAAGGAAACACCATTTTTAAATAGTTACTTTAAAAAAATCCTTTCAGATGAAAAAATCTGCTATGGTTGATCTTTCTGGTGTTGGTGAAAGGAAAGAGAAATCTCCGTGTGGGGAGGCCCTGGGCAGCGTTCAGGGACCGAGCCCTGTGGAGCGGAAAGGCTCGAGACTGGACCTATCTTGCAAAAACAAGGCTCCTGTTAGCAGAATCGAAGTCCATTGAGGAGCTGGAAGAAGACAGGTCCCTTCTCTAAAGCACTGTGATTAGCTCAAGCTCGTTGGATTTGCACTTTTGGAGAAGATGTGTTCAGTGAGGGCTGTGGAAGGCTAGGCAGGCTGGACGCCCGGCTAGAGGCCAAGCCTGCAGACGGCAGAAAGGCGAATGCACCTTCCAGATGGCCGCCTTTCCTGAAGAACTGCCTGGGGTTGCATTTGTGGAAGCCAGCCATCCTTCATCAACAAAGCAACAAATATCGATTGTTCAATTTACACATTTTCATTTTCATAATTTTATTTGTACACATTTGAACACCCTGAGGTTTGTAAACATTTAGTAACTTATCCAAAGGTCACAGGACTATCCACGCTTCAAATCCGGGCCCCTGTCCTGGACTTGCAGGGGTGCAGGATGAAGAAACCCCAGCCTGCTGTGAGGGACCTGAGGCTGCTGGGAGAGCTGAGAAGTGTGTGCGGTTGCAATGACGAAGCGTGCACGGTGGCTGGGAGAGCTGGGAGGTGTGTGCGGTTGTGATGATGAAGTGTGCACGGTGGCTGGGAGAGCTGGGAGGTGTGTGCGGTTGTGATGATGAAGTGTGCACGGTGGCTGGGAGAGCTGGGAGGTGTGTGCGGTTGTGATGATGAAGTGTGCACGGTGGCTGGGAGAGCTGGGAGGTGTGTGCGGTTGTGATGATGAAGTGTGCACGGTGGCTGGGAGAGCTGGGAGGTGTGTGCGGTTGTGATGATGAAGTGTGCACGGTGGCTGGGAGAGCTGGGAGGTGTGTGCGGTTGTGATGAAGTGTGCACGGTGGCTGGGAGAGCTGGGAGGTGTGTGCGGTTGTGATGATGAAGTGTGCACGGTCGCTGGGAGAGCTGGGAGGTGTGTGCAGTTGCGATGACGATGTGTGCACAGTGACGGCACTGCAAAATGTGACGGAGGCTCCGAGCAGGGGTTCCTAGGGGCCGGAGGCTGGGTCTACCCTGGTTGGGGCTGGCCCGGTGGAAGGAACGAGAAAGACAGTCTCAGGAACAGTGACGTGTGGAGATGGGAGGATGAGACACGCCCCCAGTACTGAAGGAGACCCTGGTGGTGGCAAAGGCGGGTTGGGACAGAATGTGGGAGGCTTTGAACATCAAGACACGAGTCTGGACTCATTTATAGTCAGTATTTTTTTATGAGTTAAACAAAAAGACGTGTGGCATTTTGGGGTCTGGACACTTTTAAATCAATGACTCCTAAGTGTTTACAAAGCAGGAAACAAGGTTTGAACCATGAGCTTCAGGAGCAGGACGGGCTCCTGGAGCCTGAAAGGAGCCCAGTCTCCCTCTCTGTGGGCGGCCGGATGCTCCTGACTTGGGTCAAGAGGGAGAGTCGTTCTCCTGGTCTCTATGCCGGGCTGTGACCACTGCCTGTCATTCAAGATGACCCTTTCGGGGTGTTGAGGACTGAGGCAGCTCTGGAATGTCACCCTACCTGTAACCTAACCTGCCCAGCTTCATGGGTGCTGGGAGGAGATATGGGGCTCTGAGGTCAGGGAGGGAGGACAGCTTGTTACAGCAGTGACAGTGGCTGTGAACCCGCAGGACCCCATGTCTACTCAGCCCCGTGAAGGGACCAGTGCTGCCGCACACACCATGAGTCAGGGTCATAGGAGAGCACCCCTGAGTCTTCTGCCACAGAGGAAGGCACTGCCTTTGCCTTCCAGGGCTGTATTTGCTTTCAGGCGTCCTTGAACAGGTAGGCCTGAACAAAGGGGAGGCCAGTGTCTCGCTACATGGGGTGTATGGAAAATGTGCCACCCGCAGAGAATTGCCTTCCAGTGGTGAATCGGTGGCAGCTGGCAGACCCAGCTGAGCTGTGCTGTGGGTAAGCCAGTGGTGGGAGAGGCCTCGCCCCTGGAAGCATGGTGCCCATGTGTTGCCGCCACGTCCCTGGGGTCTCTGGGCTGGAGTTCCAAAGTCGTCTTCATCATGAAGAAGCACATCCAGGCTATGGGCAGAACTGTCTTGAAGCCGTCCAGCTGTTTAAATTCTACATTCTGTGGGGCATGCACGGGGTTGGCTTATTCAACCTTCCTTCCATTCTCCCTGTGGTTGGAGAAGACAGAGAACAAAACAACTCATTTCCAAGATGCTTGGCAGCTGGGCAGAGTCCACCAACGAGAGGCACCCAAAGGCAATCCAAAAGACAGGCGGAAGAGGAGCGCATCTTGTTGCCATTGTGCCATGTTTGCTGGAAAGCACCGTTGTTGAGATGTGAGTATTTCTGCGTGATGTCCGTTCTTCAAACCCCAGACGCAGTTGGATGGCAGCGGATGGCAGCCGTGACCCCGCGGGCTCCCGGCTTCTGCTCCTGGTCCCCAGCTGGCTCAGGTGAATCCATGGTCAATGGCAGCCCCAGGAATGGCGGCCCCCATGATGGGTGGGCTTTACATTGTCCTGCAAGTAGTTTCTGGGAGCCACAGCCAAGTGAGAACTTGCTTCAACTTTCCAGTCACTTTCAGAGACACCAGCATTACCTCCTTTCCTGCTGAAGACACCTGGAGTGGCTTCCCTTCTCTGCCTCAAACCCTGACTGGTTCACATTCTTAGTTCATACCTTACTGTTGTTTACAAATCACCTGCAAACTCTTGGCCACAGTGCAGCGGGGGCGGGGCTGAGCACTCTGCTCCTAGGGTGTGGCCATCGTGGCTGAGCACTCTGCTCCCAGGGGGCGGTCAGGCAGGGGTCCGGGATGGAGAGAGGGCGGCCCCATTAGGGGCGATGAGATGCTCTCGAATCTGATTTGATCATCCCCACTCCTGCTCCTCAGCCCCCTGGAGCCGCATGTCTCCTTCAAGGCTGCTGTGATGTGGATTTTCACCTGGCGTCCATGGATAGCCACGTCCAGTGGGGAGGGGTGTGGGAGCAGGAGAGCCCCTCGGGGGCCCCACCCTCCTCCTGCGCACGTTGCTGCTGCTGGAATGGCAGGACACAAGCTGCTCCAGACTCAGTGAGCCCTCATTAGTGAGCTTTCTTCATGGGCTCAGGAAGATCTACGGCCCTTTGTCTACTTTTGAATAACAAGTTATCCCAAATGCAATGGCTTAAAGCACACATTATGGCACAGTTTATGGGGTCGGGAATCCAGGGCCTGTAGCTGGGCACCTCCTGCCCAGGGCTTCTCCTGAGGACAGCAAGCTGTGGCCAGGCCCAGGTCTCATCAGAAGGCTCAGCAGGAGAAGGATCCACTTCCACAGTGGGCTCCCACTGACTGTGGCCAGGTTCCTTGTCACCTGGGCTTTCCAGAGGGAAGCCATGGCCTGACAGCTGCCTGCCTTGGAGTACATAAGAGAGAGAGAAAGCATGAGAGGCCCTGAAATGGAAGCCACAGTTGTTTTGTGGCCTGAGGTTGGAAGCAATATTCCATCATGTTTCCATATTCCACGAGTTCAGTCCGTGCTCAAGGGGAGAGGATTACCGGGGAAGTAGATCCCAGGGGAAGGGGTGGCTGGGCTCATTTACGGCTGCCGACCACCCTGGACTTTGGGAAACAACGCAGCCCGTGTCTGGGTTTGCGGCATGGAGACTGCTGCGCGGTCACCAGGGCGGTTTGGATGGGTGGAGGCGGCAGACGGGACTGACCTGCCCCTGGAGGCTGTGGTGGAGTTACTGGCTGGAGTGGGGGCCCAGTGTGTCTGCGGGGAGGGAAGGCAGGGTGGCTGGGGAGTGCTGGAGTAGGGTCCCAGGGGCTGTGTGTCTGCGGGGAGGGGAGGCAGGGTGGCTGGGGAGTGCTGGCCATGGGCCTTGGGGGTGTCCGGGGAGTGCTGGTCATTGGGGAGTGCTGGACATGGGCCTTGGGTGTGGCCTTGAGCCCGGCCCCTGCAGAGGCGGTGCTCCCTGTGCTGGGCACTGCATGGGGCTGAAATGTCTTCCTGTGGCCACTGGATTCCTTGGACCAGCAGAACAAGCCTGGCCCTCGTGGCAGCTGCAGTTGCTTGTGCACACACACCCTGTGGGTCCTTTGCTGTCTCAGTACATGAGAAACACCCTGGACTCCCCCGTTTCTCGTTGGACGTAACTCTCAGTCCCAGCTGACTGCTGTTCTCCTTAACTCACAGCAGCCCCTCCTGGGACCAGCTCAGAGGTGCCTGGGAGAGGCAGTGCGGCTTCTAGACACCCTTCTTTGTAATCCAGCCACACGGGTTGTATTGGCCACGGAAGCCCCATCCACCGCTGAGGACTGGGCTTCCTGGGCTCGCTGCGGAGCCTCCCCCATCTGCCCCAGACACACCTGCCTCCTGCATGGTGGCCACTCTTGTCGGACTCTGTGCCTGTCCCCACATTTATTCTGTTAAACTTTTCTTTGCAGTACTCAGCCTGTTGTGCTGGGTCACTGTTCAGCTGATTAAAAATGGCAGCTTCCCTCAAAAGCAAATGTTATTGTAGCCCTTGGGTGTCAGAAAAGAGCAGGCAAACCCAACCTAAAGGCTCCTGGGCTTTCTGCAATTGTCCCCGTCGGCGTTCAGTAGGAACACGCATGGAGTGTGGGAGAACTGGATCGTGCAGGTGGGAGTTAAAGGCAAGAGGGGATCCAGGAACGCCGGGAAGCTGCTGCCTGGAGGGGGTGGGATGCTGGCAGGGGCTGAGCCTCCCCAGGACACAGCACCTTCGTCACTCTGACCACTGGGCCCCCTGCCCCACCTCTGACCACTGGACCTGAGTGGGGTGTGTCTCCATTCTGTGCCCATTGGCTCCTCCCTACTCCTCGCCAAGGGAGAGACCAGCCCCTCCCATCACAGGCTCCTTGGAGGGCTGGAATCCAGCTCAGCTTAGTTCAGCAAAAGACCATGAACCCTACTGTGTCCAGGTACAGGATCGAGGTGAGTCTAAACAGAACAGACCCCAGCGTTGAGACAGTGACAGTGAGCCTCTGTGAACACCTGCGGGTCCCCAGCCCAGCTTCTCACTGTGAAATCTTGAGGGGCAGCGGGAAAGTAGGGGCCGACCTTGCTCCAAGTCCCTAACAGGGAGCCCGCTTCCCTGAGGGTGAAGGCAGAGGGGCTCAGCTTGTGCGGGACCAGGGCGGGGAGAGCCCGGGGAGGGAGGGCGGGCGTGGCGGGCAGGGCACGGGGAGCGGACCTTGAGCGGCCGCCTGCCGCCCCCTCCATGGGGGGTGCAAGGGGTGGAAGCTGTGAGTGTGGACACGAGTGAAGCGGACGCAGGCAGGGCAGCCTCAGGCTCCTCGAAGGGGGCTTTCTGGTCAGAGTGGGAGGGGTCTGACATCTGTGGTTCTGTGGTCGCACAGCCTTTACCCAGTATTGAAAAGTAATGTTGCCTCGTGGGGAAACGGAAATGGCCAGCAAGGGTGGGTTCACCTCAGTCCTCCTCACCCGTTCACCTCAGTCTCCGCACCCCCATCCTGCTCTGTTCACCTCAGTCTCCTCACCCCCACCCTGCTCTGTTGTTCCCCTCGGTCTTTGAGACAGGACCAAACGCAGAGGCGGCGCTGGTGCAGCAGGGTCAAGGGGCAGCCTGGGCACCAGCCTCTCAGCCTCCCGGCTAGTCAGCCCCGAGCCGGTCCCAATCTGTCGGTGCTTCCTTGGGTCCTTCTCCAACCAGCGTCCTTTTCAGCAGCAACAGGGAGGCTGCAGAGGCTTCCGGGCTGTGGCAGGCTTGACCAACAGAGCCAGGGGCCAGAGTTGCGAGCGATCATAGCCACTGTCACTGAGAGGGCTTTCTGGGTCGCAGCCGCTGTCGCTGAGGAGGCTTTCTAGATTGTGGCCTCTGTCGCTGAGCGGGCTTTCTAGATGACAGCTGCTGTTGCCGAGGGAGCTTTCTAGATCATAGACACTGTTGCTGAGCGGGCTGTCTGGGTTGTAGCCACTGTCGCCAAATGGGCTGTCTAGATTGTAGTGTCTGTCGCCGAGCAGGCTTTCTAGGTGGTAGCCTCTGTCGCTGAGCGAGCTTTCTAGATTGTAGCCTCTGTCACCGAGGGGGCTTTCTGGATTGCAGCCTCTGTTGCCGAGCGGACTTTCTAGGCTCAGTCACAGGCCACATGCTCTGCGTTCGCTGCCTCCTCTGCTTCTGCCCGCTTCTCCAGGGCTCACCCATCCTGCAGATGAGGGGCCGAGGGCTCAGAGGGAAGGGCCCGCGTACGCTGGGTGCATCGCTGTGTACACAGATCCCGTGGTGAGGCACGGTCCCAGACCCCCGCTTGACCCCAAACCCCAGTCTTTACCCCCACCCAAAACCCCCAAGCCCCATGTCTCCCAAGCCCTTTCACAGTCTGCTCTGCCCACCGCCCCCACTCTCATGGCCTCTGGTGCAGCCACAGGGCCTTGGTAATGGGGGACTGTTGGGGGGCTATCTTTTCGGGGTCTCCTCTGTGGCCCCATCTGCCGGGGAGGAAAGGTCACGGGGGCCTGTGTGGGGCAAGGCAGCATGAAGGGCTTTGCTGTGGGGTCATGGGTCTGGGATGGGCTCTCGGCCACCCTGCGGCCTCCTGTCAGGTGTGCACAGCTGAGCCTGAACTTCCCGGACGAAGGAGGCTGCTATTCCCGGACCCGCCATAGAGAGGCAGTGCAGGACAGGGCTTGAGGTCCCGGCCCAGGCGCTGCAGCTTCTGGGCTCAGCCTGGGCTCTGTCCACTGACAGATCCTGGCTTCTCCGCCAATCCCCCTGTGTTTAGCGGGGTGAGGATGGGAGGGTGAGGTGATGGTCAATCCTCATGTCAACCTGGCTGGGCCATGGCACCCAGATATCTGGACAGACGCCCCTGGGACGCGGCTGTGAACAACTTTTTCTATGAAATTAATGTTAATTCAGGGGACTTTGAGAAAAGTCGTCTGGCTGTGGTGTGGGTGGGCCTCATCCACTCTGCGGAACGTCTTAAGAAAAAGACTGGGGTCCCCACAGAAGAGGGAATCCTGCCTGCAGAGAGCTCTGCACTTGAACGGCAGTGTCGACTCTCTCAGGTTCCCGACCAGTTCCTGAAAATCTCCCCCTCTGTGTGATGTGTGTGTGCGTGTGTGGGTGGTCCCACAGCTTCTGTCTCCTGGAGCCCCTCACCACTGCAGGCGTGGGGCTGCCCTTGGGGCTGGAGGGTGCGTGATGACCACAGGGTGGCGGTCGTGTGTCCTCACTGCCTGGTGCCGTCGCCTTCGGGTGGATGAGACGTGTGGCTCTGGGTCAGCCCCCAGAAGTGGCGGAGGGGTCCGTTGTTCTTATTATTAACTACCTCCTTCACTTCCTCAGACCTACTGTTTTCGACGTCTAAGTCAGCCCTCACCACCACCCCACGAGCTGAAAGATCTTGCCCCTGACTTTGAGACTTGAACCCTGGAACTCCCTTCCTGGAGCCTGCGTTGCCTGGGACAGGGGTGGCCAGGGTGAAATTGGCAGCACCTGGTTGCTCACTCCCGGCCAGCCCTGCCTGCTCCACCCAGCCCCGGGGACGGATTCCTGGTGTTTCGGGGCTGTCTGCCGGCCATCTGCTTGGTAGGGCCGTCGGAATCACCTTTTACAAAGCTCTTCTATCAGTGATTCAGGATCAAGGAGTAAGAGTGCTTTCTGGGTTGAAAAACATCGTGTGGGATCTTTAGCTGGAAAACATTTTATTACAAATATTTTTCAAGTCTATGTGGCCTCTTAAAAAGTCCCATCTTTTTAACACAGTGTTTCCCGGGCCAGCCACGTTTAGCCTTCTAAAGCTTCGTATGCAGCCTCTTACCTAGGAAACGATGCAGCTGTTCAGTCTTTTGCAAGGAGCAAGCCTTTGGTCTAAGAAGCAGCTTCGGGGGTGGAGGAGGTGGTGCTGCTGGGAGACCCGCCCCGGGCACACGTGGAGGTGGGGCTCATGGGAGAGGTGGGGCCTGCAGAGACCCGTCCTGAGGTTTGTGCTCCCAGAGCTGCGCGGGGCAGCGTGGGAGTCACCAGTCACACAGATCGTTTACATTTAAACTCATCCAGATAAAATGAAGAGTTCAGTTCTGCAGTCGCACCTACTGGAAGTGCTCAGGAGCCCACCGTGGTCCCCGTGCAGGGAGGGACTGCAGGGCGGGCTTCTCCTCCTGCTGAGAAAGCTCCCGTGGGTGCAGCTCCCACCTAGGTTTGTAAATAAAGCTTCCTGGGACACAGCCAAGCCCGTGGTTCATGGATCCCCTCTGCTGGCTTTTTTTTTTTTTTTTTGAGATAGAGTCTTCCTCTGTCACCCAGGCTGGAGTGCAGTGGCGTGATCTCAGCTCATTGCAACCTCGGCCTCCCAGGCTCCAGTGGTTCTCCTGCCTCAGCCTCCCGAGTAGCTGGGATTACAGGTTCCCGCCACCACGCCTGGCTAATTTTTTTTTAAAAAATATTTTTAATAGAGACAGGGTTTCACCATGTTGGCCAGGCTGGTCTTGAACTCCTGGCCTCAGGTGAACCACCGCACCCGGCCTCTAGTGCTTTTGTGCTATAATCCGGAGGTTGAGTTGCCACAGGGACCAGAGAGCCTGTGAAGCCTCAAATGCTTTTCATCCCGCCCTTGATGGAGAATCTTTGCCGACCTCTGCCCTCAAGCACAGCTGTGAAATCCAGCTGGGTCTGCCTGCACGGCAGTGTGGCTGCATCACACCTGAGGCCCACTGTAGGTGGTTATGTGGGGCGCTGGGGTGCTGGCCTTGCCATGTTGTGAGTGGCAGGTCTGGGCTGTGCTACGGCAGTGCACACGGTAGGGCTTCTGTGCACAGCAGCAAAGGCGCCAGTCGTGGAGAGCACAACGGGTGGGGGGGTTCGGGCAGGGAGCGGCCTCGGCACAGATGACCTCAAGTGTGCCTGAACGTGCATGTTTCCCATGGGGTGTGTCCAGCCAGCGTGTGAGCAGCGTCTCCTTGGGCAGAGGTGCGTCAGGCCATGGGACTGCCTGGGACCATTTCCTTTGGCTGGGGCACAAGGAGACGGAGGACCATGCCAGAGCAGAAACCATCCCAATGCCCAAGGAAAAGGACCACAGGCTGTTTTCAGAGAGACCAGGAATAGCAGAGGCCTCCTGGCCCACGGTCCTCAGGGGAAAGAGGCCATGCTTTCCAATGGAAATCAGGTTCATCTCTGGAGAGCTGTGTCTAGAAAGCGCAGTTCACCAAACAGCATAAACTCCAGAAAAGGGAAACTCACACTTGGAATAAAGGTGAGGAGGGCGCCAAACATCGATAGCAGAAGTCCTTGGAGCCAAAGCCACGCAAGGACGCTGGCACTGGGGCGTGGGGCTTGGGCCTGCGCGGTTTTGGAAGGGTCTGTTCCAGCCGCCGAGGACTTGGGCTCAGCTGATTCAGCAGTGAAGACACAGGCAAGTTGGGGACGGGGGGGGTCGTGGCGGTCCGTCCCTCTTCTCTGTAGGAAAGCCGCAGACAGTGGCTGGATCCTCTATGGCTCTTGCTGTGTAGACACTACTCAAAAGTAGCATCTTCTGAAAGGTGGTGAAACTCCTGGAGTTGGTTTAACAGCAGACGGGCGTGTGCTTTTGTGAATAAACGAATGGGGGCCAGGCGCGGCGGCTCACACCTGTAACCCCAGCACTTTGGGAGGCCGAGGTGGGTGGATCACCTGAGGTCAGGAGTTTGAGACCAGCCTGGCCAACATGGGGAAACCTGGTCTCTACTAAAAATACAAAAATCAGCCGGGCGTGGTGATGCGTGCCTGTAATCCCAGCTACCTGGGAGGCTGAGGCAGGAGAATCGCTCTAACCTGGGAGGCGAAGGTTGCAGTGAGCCGAGATCGTGCCCCTGCACTCCAGCCTGGGTGACAGAGCAAGACTCCATCTCAAAAAAAAAAAAAAAAAAAAAGAATGGTGGAATGGTGTCCTGACACGTATTCAGTTAAAATCTCAGGGAGGGCAAGCAGATGCCCTGTCTGCAGTCATTTGTCTCTGAGCACGGCATCTCGACGCTCCCTGTAAGTGACTGTCTCAACTGTGCACTGTTCCAGGTTCTCCTGCTGCTTGTCTGTGGTCACTGCAGGGCTGGGGGAAGCTTTGGGTCCCTTGGCCTCTGAACTGTGGTTCTCAGAGGACCCAGGGTTGGAATCTGTTCATCTGGACACAGCTGTTGGCACATAGGGACAGAGGCAACCTCCTCTGGAATCAGAGTGAGGAACTGGGAGGATCTTGGGCAAAAGGCCAGCTGCACCACCGTGGGTCAGCACTTCGTCATGGTTTATGTTTTGGAAATCTAAGAGTCTGGGGTGTGGCTCTCAATCTTGTTCAGGCACCAGTTTACCCCAGATCACCAGAGGTGACCAGGCCCTGATGCAAGATGGGGAGAGAGGGTTTGTGAATTTAACAACAGACCAGCTGGTTGAGAAACTCAAACTGCAGAAGGAACTATACGTAGTTCACTAATAGGTGACTTACGCTATAAATGTGCAAGAGATGTTCCAGATAACATACAAGTGTAACTTGATTCTAGTGTGAAGTTCCAATTCCTCCTCATTGATAGAGCCCTTAGTCAGCAAATCTTTCTCTCTCTCTCTGTCTCTCTCTCTCTCTCTCTCACACACACACACACACACACACACTCACTGTGGATGTATCGAGTAGTGTCTTTCTGCAAAGCACTTTGTCAAGGTGGTTTGGGGACCAGCCTTGCCCTGGTCCTGACCCTGCTACCTGTGTTCTTCCATTACCCTGGTCTTGTTGTTCCTGGTGCACGTGCTCTTAGCCATTGATGATATTGGTGATAGAATGCAATTCTCAGAGCCCTCTCAGTCTGTCTGCAACAAATTAACATTCAATCCTAAAACTGTACAGAGTTTGGGAAGTGGCTGGGTGTTGCCGTTGGTGTTAGGCTCTTGGTTGGTCCTGCCCTGACTCACAGGAGGTGGCACGGCTGCCACCTCTAGTTTCTGGAGCCATCTCTGAGCTCCCTAATGTTGCAGTGCTCCCCACTGCTCACACACACCCCTTCCTCTGAGGTGGTTTTGATCTGTTCCCTCCCTGACCCCAAGTACAGAAGCTCTGTTTTTTCCTCTTTGTGGCAAAATCCTGTCTTCCTTGTAGATGTCAGGATGTAGCTGATTAACTCTGTTTCTAGATTAAAGATTCTAAAATGTGGTTCTGGGATAAGTAGCAGCCACATCCTCACTGAAAACAATGGGAAAACCTGGATAAAATGCAGATGTGTATATTGAAAAACTCCCAAAATGGGCAGAACTTGAGTGGTCAAGATTAAGAGAGAAGGAAATTTGTGGATGTGAGTTTTATATTCTGAGCTCATCACCCCCTTGAGGCATTTGCTAATTCTTATGCATCACAGACAGGTTGAGCAGCACAGCAGAAAGCAGTTGCTAGGAGGCTTTCAGTAATCTCCCAGGGCTGGGAAGAAAAAATGTGAGTTAAGGGCTTCTTACACAGCCAGGGCTTCAGGTGCTAAGATCCCAGAAAGAACGCCTGTTCAGTGTAGTGAGTCCAACTAGCCAATCTGCTTGTCCCCCTAAAGCATTCCCTAAGTCCTCAGCTGTGCTGCTGGGGAGAAGGTCAGCAGAAAGTGGTAGCAGAGAGGCTGAGGAGCTAAAGAGTTTTCAAGCAGTCTCCTAGTGTAAAAAATAAAAGTCGCATTTGAAGGGCCCTGGTAAATTCTCAGAGCTCTAAATTGGAATTCCCATAGGAACAAGGAAAACTAGAAATAGACCAGGTGTTACAAAGACAAATCTAGTATTAAAACAACTTAATTAAGATGATCTGTCCTCACTCTAACTGGCTACCAGAGCTAGATGTCTTTCAGAGTTTCTAGTTTTTCATCACACGATGTCCAGCATTCCATCAAAAAGTACCAATCATATCAATAATCCAGGCAATAGAAACAGACTTCTGGATAATACAGATATTGGAGTTATCAAATACAGATTAGGCATAACTATGATTAATATATCCATAAAACAGATGAGACAATGGTGAACATCACAGATAAGTGGAATCCATAGAACCAAATGGAAATTCCAGGATTAAAAGACGTAGTAATTAAAATTTAATTAATTATTTTAATTTTTAATTAATTAAAATAAAATATTAATTTAATATGATGATTAAATGATTATCCAAAGCTAAAGAGAGATTTAGTGGTCTGGATGTAGGTCAGGAGAAAATATTCAGATTGAAATAAAAGAGAACAAAGAATGAAAAATAAAAAGAGTATAAGAAAAGTGTGGGACAGAGCACAAACATCAAACATGCGTAATTGGAGGAGAGAAGAGAGAGAGAAAAAAGGCACAGAATATTTGAAAAGACAGAATTTTTCAGAACTTACTAAAGAAATAAGCCATGGGTTCAAATATCACCATAAACCCTAGACAGGATAAATGCAATGAAAACACAGCTAGGAACATCATTGTAAAAATGCTGAAATGAAAAGGCAAAGAGAAATGATTAACATTAGCTAGAGGTAGAAAGACACATTACTGTCCAAGGAGCAGTAATAACACAGAGAGTGACAGTAGATTCCCCAGGAGAAATGATGGAGGTCAAAAGACAATGGAAAAGAAAGTACCTGGTAATCTAGAGCCTACATCTAGTGAAAACATTCTTCAAAACATGAAGGTAAAGATATTTTCAGACGAATAAAAACTGAGGATTTTCCCAGTAGGGCTACACTAAAATACTAAAAGGAGTTAGTTGGCAGGAATGTACTGCTAGCCAGAAGCATTAAAAATGCACAACAGAATGAAGAACAAATAAAGGAGTAAATATGTGGATAAATCTGAAACAAATATTAACTGCATAGAACTAAGTATAATATTTTGAAGCATTTAAAATATATGTAGAATTAAAATCTGTGACAAAAATAATGCAAAAAATGGTAAGTGGAGTTAAGTATTCTTCTATTCTTGCATTATTAGGAAATGGTAAAAGTGCTAATTTTAGGTTATAGGAAGTCCAAGATGCATACTGTAGTAGTCTATAATATAACCTTTAAAATAATATTAAAAATACGTAATCCATGATCTAATAGAGGGGGAAATTGAATGAAAAAAAAACTTGCTCAATCTAAATAAAGTGAAAGAAGAGAAAAGGAAGTGGTAAAAGTATTAATTTTAGGTGATAGTAAGTCAAGGATATATATTGTTGTCTCTAATATAACCTTTAAAACAATATTAAAATACATAATGTTCTAATAGAGGGGAAAATGGAATTAAAAAAATACTTGCTTAATCCAAATAAAGTGAAAGAAGAAAAAAATGAGGCATGTGAGACAAATAGAAAATAAATAGTTGCTTCATAGATACAAACCCAGCTCTAGCACTGCTTATATTTCATGGAAAAGGATGAAATATTCCAATTAAAAGACAAAAGGACTGGATTTCTAAAAGTGTACTCCTATATATTACTATATATATATATATATATATAATATAACATTATAGGATGGAAAATGATATACCATGCAAACATTTACCAAGAGAAAGTTAGCGTGGCTATGTTAATATCAGACAAAATGAATATAAGGCAAGAAGAAATACTACAGATAAAGAGGAACATTTCATAACAATAGAGGCTTAAATCCACCAGAAAGACAATTTAGTCTGTAGGACCCTAGCAACATAGCTTTGAAACATACAAAACAAAATAGAACCAAAGAAATAAATGCCTTGCATTCACAGTGGGGATCTTTTACACCTCTTTTGATACTGGATGACCAAAGAGGAATGAGTAAGGAGATATTTTAACCACACAATTAACAAACTTGACCCGATTGACTCTGTGGGATCCCACCCCCCAAAACTGCAGAATACACCATCCTCCCAAGCTCCAAATGGAATTTTTACCAAAATTGGCTGTATGTTTGGCCCTAAATCAAGTCTCAAAAAATTTCAAAAAACTGAAATCATACAGCATACATTAATATGTTTCACCATTTTCTCCCACCCATAACATATAATAGGGGACCACTCTGGCCACAATTCCCACCCTCGGTGGCAGAGCCCCCCCGACACTCACCCACCCCTGCCCTGGCACCTTTGGGACACTTTCTTCCTGGAATGCCCATCCTAGTACATGTGGGGGTCACTTCTACCTCACAGGCACATCTTTAACACCCCTGTAAGCCAGTTCATCACTTGCCTTGGGGTAGCCAATATTAACATTGATGATTTTCCTCGTCAGCTTAGTTCCTGACTCTTGTCTTAAGCCTCCTGGGAACAGCAAGGGTGTGTCCCATACAGCAAGCAGGGCGTGCTTGAGCCTTGCACAGCAATCATCAATCTGGAGACCCAACGTGTTCCCGTGGCTGTTTTCAGTGCCATCCCTGAGAGAGGGAATATTTTGATGTGATCAAACTAATACATCAAACTTCCAGCTTTTGAAGACTGTGTAATCAGGGATCTCATGTGGTCAGGACAGAGGAGAGAGAGTGGTCAAATCAATGACACTTTATATGTTTTGTCTTCTCTGGGTCAGCATTGCTCTGCCAAGGTTTCCTGGGGGACAAACCCTGCAAGACCCTGCTTGGAAAACGATGATGCCATTGACGATTAAAACATCCAGCAGCAAAGGCCCGGCCTGGGGCACGGTGTCAGGGCTGCAACAGGCCACGTGACGGTGTGGCAGTGAGTGAGCCACTGAATACCTCTGAGCCCCAGGCCCACTCATGTGGAGTGGAGGCGATGCCTGCCTCCTGGCCTTGCTGTGAGGACTCGGTGGGCCACTGTGCATGGAAACAACTTATAAACCACAGAGTTCGCTAAAAATGCTTTGTGAGATCCATGCACAAGACAGAAAAATAAAAACTACAAGTGTACAAAGAAAGGAGAAGAACTACACGCAGCTGTCCCTGTATTCATAGAGAGGCTGCAGCATGGTTTAGTAGACACAGGTTAGCACCGGGCATCAGAAATAACTGCATCCTGCCTTGCCACTGACTTACTGAGTAACTAGTGAGTCATGTGTCCTTGCTGCCTCAGTTTCCTCATCTGGAATTGAGGGATTGCATGAAAGGCCTCAAAGGGTCATTCCAATACAAGCATTCTCTGATTCCAAACCCTCAGTCCTCTGCAGTTGCCTTGGAGACACCATAGAAAGAGGGCACAGGACGTTTGCATCTCTTAGGAAGAGAGCACAGCCAGCGGCTACAAGTACAATGGCATTGTCTGCTTCCGTTTCCAGCTGCCTTTGAAAATGGTGTTATTAATGGAAAGGACACCAATCCACTGCTAAACTGTGCAAAGGGCATGGAAGTCGTCTGTCCAGGATTGTTCTCAAACGCGATCCATGAGCTTCTCCAAGCCTGGCTGCCTTTCTAGAGAAATGGGAAAATCATATTTTGTCCTAAATCTTTCCAGATGGGTCACCTCAATGAATCCAGCAGAGGTTGCAGCCCCTCCACAGTCAGAATCAGTTTGGATAAGAAAAGTTGCCCAAGATGTGTCCTGGTCACCCCCAGCCCCTACCCCCAGGTAATGCTGTAGGTCACACACACCACCTGGAGCAAACCTTCACCTTCCATAACACACAGTCCCAGCCAGCATTCCCAAGCTTGGCAAACATTCCAATGCAATGAGGCTTCGTGTGTGCCCATGTGTTGTATGTGTGTGCGTGTTGCACGTGTGTTGCATGTATGCGTGTATTGTATGCACGTGGATTGTATGTGTGCACATGTTGCATGCGCATGTGTTGGATGTGCATGTACGCTGCATGTGTGTGCATGTTGCATGTGTGTTGCATGCACACACATGCATGTGCATGCGTGTTGTATGTGTGCATGTGTTGTACGTGCATGCATGTTGTGTATGCATGTGTTGTGTTTGTATGCATGCGTTATGTGTGTGCATGTGTTATATGTGTGCGTGTGTGTTTTGCAAGGCATGGCAGTAGGGAAGAGACTCTCAGGCCTTTGTAGTCTCTGTTCCTCATGGACGAGTTCTTTATGAGCTCTGAGATTATGTTATTTGTAGACAGAATATTCTGATGCTCTTATTTCCAGGTTTGATATGTTTTTTTGCTTCTTGATTTCTTCTTTTTTTTAAAAAAAACCCCAAATCCCACATACCCTTTGGCTTAACACTTAAATAAACCAACTCCAATTGGGATCGTGTGAATAAACGATTTTCCTTTATGTGGAATGGTTCAGAGAACGTGGGCGTGTGCACACAAGTGCCCTGTTCCGGAGGCTGGTGGGTGGGGGTTCTAGCAGGCTCCTCTCCTGCGCAGGGGGTCTGGGGCTGCGGCCTCACTGACTGCCTTGGCTCCTCCTCTGTGCGCTGGTCCTCTGCTGCTCTTTATGGAAAATGTTTCCTGTGTGGAAAGAGGAGATTTTGAGACTGGCAGTGTGTGGTATGAGGGAGATGGAGGCACTGGCAGGATCGAGGGACACCAGGGGACAGGAGGAACCAAGCCCTCAGTTGTGGAGGGAGGGGAGAGCCCTGCGGATGTGTCTGGGGCAGGAGGACCGGGAGGGGGGCACTGGCTGCGTCAGGCTGCCTTTGGCTCTCCCTGCGGGGCCACCCTGTCCAGTGTCATTTCCCCCGCGTTCTCCCTCAAAACCCATCGACAACTCCAAGCCTGGCGGAGCTGGACTGGTCCTCCTCCTCCTCCCCTCATGGCGGCCGGCTGTGGATCTCATTCCTGGGATGTCAGTACCAGGAGGTTGGGGACTCCTGGTTCTTCACTGTCCAACATTGCCAGGGCTCTGGAAGTCCCCACTGTCACCTCCAGGGCTTCTGTTGCCGACGGCCACACCTAGAGGTGCTGGTGACGTACAGGAGCTTCATCAGTGCAGAGGCCCCTGTCTTTTGCTGTTAGAGTTATAGGAGAATTTGTGGTTCTCCCTGCAGAACAGTCAGGTCCCAGGGAACTGGAATCTTGACAAGGTCAATCATGAAATTGTATCTAAAGCAGCAGAGGTTGTCCTGGACAGTGGCACAATCTGGGATATTGGCCGTAGCTTGAACGACCGCTCACTGCCCTTTCTACACCGCGTGTGTTGGCCTGGTCCCTGCTGCTGGGGGCACGAGCAGACCTTGTGGCCTGGGGTTTTGTGGTCCTGGGACTGACACTGGCCTGGCAAAGTCTGAACTTGGGGGGCTGGGGGCCCCACTTCAGAGAAGCTCTTGGCCTGTGCTCGATGACAACTCATGCAGCAGGGAGGTCGTCTCCAGCGACGTTTCCCGGGACCGTCCTCTTCGGCATTTTAACAAAGGACGAGCTGGCCGGCTTCCCACGCTTGTGGACAGTGAGGGGCTGGGAGCAGCAGCCAACAGGCTGGATGGAAAAGTCAGAACCCCAATGCTTTAAGAGGGGACAGGGAGGCCCACCTAACTGTTCTCTAGCAGGTAAGCTCCCAGGCAGGGCTCTCTGTTTTATGTAGAAACCCCAGAGCCTAGGACAGTGCCTGGCACGTGGTGGGTGCTTGGGAAGCACCAGTGGAGGTGAGTGAAGGTGACAGGGTCTCAATGTCTGGCTCTGTGCTCGGGCTATGAAAAGCCAGCCATGTGGCTCGGCAATGGCTCATTTGCCAAAGTCTTTGGAGTTCACAGACAGCAGCTCGGGATTCATGGTGTGACGCGCTCCAGATGGAGGGTCTCAGGCTGCGTGGACGGGCAAGTGCTGCAGGGTATGGGGGGAGGGGCTGGGCACACTGGGCTGCCATGTGACTCAGGGATACCGGGAGGACAAGAGGGCTGTCAGCCTCACCCAGGACTGGCTCCCAGGTGTTCTGGAAAGCTCCTAGGAGAAGCCTGGGGCCAGGGACAGAAGCCACAGGATCTGCATGGCCAACTCTTAGCAGGCGGACAGTGGTGAAGCTGTGTGAACAGGGAGTGGAGAAGGGCTGGACTGGGGGTCCCCACCCCACGAGAGGGTGGGGGGCCTCCTGAAGGGGATGTGGGGGCCCTTCCTGGGCCTGTCATGGGGGAGCAGGCTCCCGTCATCACGTGGTTGAGACCCTTGAGTAGGTGGGTGGTGGCAGCCTTGTGAGTCCTGATTATTCTTGGGAAAAGGGGGACTAGTCCCCTGTTCCATTCAGCTGAAAAGGGAGAGCACTCCTTCAATGACACGGGCCTTGACTCCTTGAATTGGACTTGTCTGGTCAGGTTTCCACACATCAACGGTTGGACAGGGGCTCCTGTGGAGCTCAGGTAGGTCCACCTGGGGGCTGGGCTCACCTGCTCTCCCTGGAGCTGCTCGGAGACACACCTGTCCCTTGAGCAGGAAAAGAATCCCCAAATGAGAAGACACTTATCTATTATTTCCAATCTACCTGAAGATCTTCCAATATTTTGAAGGATTTGGTCCAGAATGGATAGATTTTCATACTGAGTGTTCTTTGAATTCTTTTCTGTGGGGAAAACAATAAGTACAATGATCACTCTTTGTAAATAATTAAGGCATGATTCCACTTTTCCTTTAACTTCAGGGAGCCGTAAGCGCTGAGCAAAGCAGCACCCACGCACAGAGCAAGCGGGGTGAGGTGCTGCAGCTTCTCGAGACACAGCCTCAGGCGAGGCCATCAAAAACATTTCCTCCAGCAAGCCCCAGAAAGTGTGGCTTGGTGCCGAAGCAATGCGTGGAGTCCTACATCTTTGTGCTTTCTCTGTGTTTTCTCTTTACACTCTTAGGAGACACTAGCATAGAAGTATTCTGTCCACTCTGTGTCCTAAGGGCTCCCCACTGCTGGTGGTGAGCAGGGCTCCCTTCTGTGGATCTGACACTCATGGTCACTTGAGCCGTGGTCCTTGGACCCGGACACAGGTTTTACAGACACTGAATTTCCCCCACCTTTCTTCGTGGCCAGCCCTTTCTACCAATGACTATGCTGTGTGGTCCCCGCTGCTCAGGAAGAGGTGCAGGCAGTGTGAGTGGCTAATCAGTTCAGGAGTGGCTCCAAGTCCCCCCAAACCGGCCCCAGCTTCTGCAGCTGTTGGGTGGGAGGCTCCCTTTGGAACAGCCACCAGCCTGGGAGGCACATTTCCTAGTGGGGGGCACCCTACAGAGAACCCTAATCCTCTTCCTTTATTTACTTTTCTTACTCTCAAAGCACACCAGGAGGACCCACCTCTCTTTAGTTCTCCCAAAACTCCGTGCAGGTGCAACCTGGAATCCTTAAAAATACGGTTTGGTACATCTGCATTTTGTGAACGCATGAATAATGACTACTGTTGACTGGCCTGACCCCTCAGTCTCATTTCTTGGAAACAAGAATCCCTCATATATCTGCCGAGCACCTAGCAGGCTCAGCAGGTATTGCTGAGTAAATGAGTCTCTTGTTGACATTAATGTTATAGGAAATGAATAATTATGACATGAATTTATATATGTCCTATGGGATACTTAGATTTTACCAGGTCCCAAAGTCTTAAACTGAAGTTTAGGCACAGTCAGTATGTCAGGAATGATATTATGAACCATGAAACTTTTCTTACTCCCAGAAGTTACAGACTACATGGGGAAGTTGGGTTTTCTGGCAACAAGGAAGAGAGGATAGTTGCAGATCTATTTTCCTCTTAATCCGTTTTACATTAAGAGGAACGTGGATCTGCAAACATTCATTAAAGCCTGCAGGCATCCTTAAAGGCTGCTTCATGCTTTAAAAACATTTATCTAAATTATTCTTAGGTGCTCAGTTTATATGTTTAATAAGGACACAAGCCCATTGAACAATTTTTAAGTTTTAGGAAAGATGTTCAGTGAAACATCAGGCTGTTTCCGGTGGTTGGTCCTCACTACCAGTTTCCTCCTGGAGGCCACAACTGTGACCCAGTTTCCTGTGTATCTTTCCAGGGATAACCTACACCAGAGAGATTACTGCCAATTTCATACTCAAAATGATTTCACACAGAGTTTTTTTAGAGAAGATTCCTTAGAAAATTTTGGCAGATAATTCAGGTTAGCTATTTGTGGAAACATATGTAATTCATCATTTAATACAAAACATTTTATCTTTAGTTTGCTTATTTGTAATCTCTAGCCCTTGGGAGTCCCAGGGAAGAGTATATGATGCTAACATTTCCCCGTTCCCTATGTATGTGTGGTTTCATTCGACTATAGGGCACCTGGTGAAACCCGTGGGTAATACTTAGTCTTCATGCGTAGATGAGGCCCCAGTGAGGCAAAGCACCTTCCTAAGGGCACTGAGGCTGTATGCGGCTGAGCTGGGAGAACCCAGGGGCCATCACCCCAGTCCTTGCTTTTCCTTCCAGAGTTGAAATGCAGAGCTTTTCACAGTTCCAGGATTCTCAATGGAACCACATGGGTAAAAATCTAGTATTTGAATTTTTAATGTCTGGAAAGGATGGAGTAACAAGGATTAGATTTATCCTCCCAATTTAATTAAAAAACAAGAAAAAATACATGAAACAGTGCTTTCCCATATATCGGAGAATAATCAGCAAAGAGCAGTGATCCCCTGAGAGATGGAAAGCAGCTGAATGCAGCCCTATGCTTGCTTCAGGCACTGCCTGGAGAGTTTCCAGGGCAGCATTAGGAGTGAGAACTTACGCAGAGCCCAGTGATCTCAATATACTGAGGGGTTTGGAGAAGTCACAGTAGCTAGAGTTCAAAGGACAGAGTGAGACACACACACACACACACACACACACACACACACAGAGAGAGAGATGCAAGGGATGCCTTGAGCCTTCAGCTGATTACTGGCCAATGAATGGCTGTAAGAAAACTACTCAAGGATGGAAAAAGGACCACACAACTGAACAGGCAGAACAATTTCCAGAGCTCACACAGGCCAGAAATAAGTGGGGTTCCTGTCAGAAAACATTTTAAAAAACCCTCATAATACACAGGAAATTGAGTACACAGAATTACATTGCTTCAGTAGTGGGGAATAGTAGACTTAGAATAAATGCTGCTTGGTCCCATTTAATATAGCATAAAAGCAAGCCTCAAAAGGACCAAACTGCTTTAAAGTAACTTAACTGGGTAAAAGAACAGGCTCAATAATAGTTTTAAAAATACAAGACTATCTAACACATAATGAAGTAAGATTCACAATGTCTGGCATTCAAACAAAAATGACCAGGTATGTGAATAAGCAATAAAATATCATCTACAATGAGAAGAAAAATTAATCAAAATTGACCCAGAAATGACATGAGAGTAGAATTAGAAAGCAAAAGTATTAAAAATGTTTTTATAAAACTGTATACCATATGTTCAAGAAGCATAGAATGTCAGATTAGATAAAAAAGCAAGAGCCAACCATACGCTGTCTATAAGAAACCCCCCTAAAGACACAAATGGGTTAAAAGTAAAATGATAGACAAAGATAAGACATGCTAATACCAATCAAAAGAAAGGTAAAATAGTTACTTAAATCTCAAAGTATATTTAGGGGCAAATAATATTACTAGGAATAAAAGAGTCATTTCTTTCTTTCTTTTTTTTTTTTTTGAGATGGGGTCTTACTTTGTTACCCAGGCTGGAGTGCAGTGGCACCATCTTGGCTCACTGCAGTCATGACCTCCTGGGCTAAAGCCATCCTCCTGCCTCAGCCTCCTGAGTAGCTGAAACTACAAGTGTGTGTCACAACACCAAGCCAATATTTTATTTTTTGTAGAGATGAGGTCTTGCTATGTTGCCCAGGCTGGTCTTGAACTCCTGGGCTCAAGTGATCCTGTTGCCTCAGACTCCCAGTGTTAGGATTACAGGCACAAGCCACTGCACCTGGCCAAGAGTCTTGTTGCAGGGATAACTCACCAAGAAAACATAACAATCCTACAGGTTTATTCACCAAATAAGAGAGCTTCAAAGTACATGAAGGAAACACTGCTAGAACTAAAAGGAGTAATGAACACATCCACAATTATGGTTTGAGATTTCAACAGTGCTTTCTCCATAATCAACTGAACAAGTAGATTGAAATTTAATAAGGATATAGAAGAGTTGAACAAGTCTACTTAGCATACTTGATCTAATTGACATTTATAGAACAGTCCACCTCTTAACAGTATAATACACATACTTTTCAGGAACACTTGGAATATTTGCTAAAGCACACTATATTCTGGGCTATATTTAAAGTTTTAAAATTCATTTAACAATAATCATGCCATATAACATATATTTTCTCACCAAAATAAAATTAAATTATAAATCAATAAAATTATGGTATCTGGAAAAAACCTCCAAATATCTGAAACTAAATAGCACACTTCTTTTTTTTGTTTTTGTTTTTGTTTTATTTTTTGAGATAGAGTCTCGCTTTGTCACCCAGACCGGAGTGCAGTGGCATGATCTTGGCTCACTGTGACTTCTGCTGCCTGGGGTCAAGTGATTCTCCTGCCTCAGCCTCCCATGTAGCTGGGATTACTGGTGCCCACCACCAAGCCCAGCTAATTTTTGTATTTTTAGAAGAGATGGGGTTTCATCATTTTGGCCAGGCTGGTCTCAAACTCCTGACCTCAAGTAATCCATCTGCCTTGGCCTCCCAAAGTGCTGGGATTACAGGTGTGAGCCACCATGCCCAGCCTAAATAGCACACTTCTAAACAACCTATGGATCAAAGAAGAAATTTAAAAGGTGAATGATAAAGTATTTTGAACTGGATGAAAATAAAAACACAACATATTGGAATTTATGGGATGAGATAAAAGTGATACTTAGAGGAAATCACTAAACATTTCTATTAGAAAACATGAGAAGTCTCAAACCCATGATCTAAGTATTCACATCAAAAAGTTAGAAAAAAGGGGAAATAAAATTTACAATAAGCAGAGGAAAGAAAATAATGTTAAGAGAAGAAATCACTATAATTAAAAACAAAATAGAGGAAAATGAAACAAAAAACCTGGTTCTCTGAGCAGATCAATAAAATGGATGAACCTCAAATCAGACTGATAGGATTTTTAGAAAGATACAAATTACTAGAGAATTGCTATCACTACAGTTCCTGCAGACACTGAAAATGAATAAAAAAAAACTATTGTGAAAAACTTTTGCCAATAACTTTGCCAACTTAGGTGAAATGAGAAAGTTCCCATAAGGACCCAAATTATCAAAGCTTATTAAAGAAGAAATAAATACACAAAATAGCTCTCTATCTATTAAATAAATTAAGATTGTAGTTAAAACCCTTCCATAAAGAAAATATAGGCCCAGATGTCTTCACTGATAAATGCTATCAAACATTTTGGGTAGAAATAATATTCATTTCATATGAATGTATCTAGAAAATTCAAGAAGAGAGACTACTTCCCAACCCATTTCTATGAAACCATTATTACCTTAAAACCAAAGCTAGAGAAAAGCATTAAAAACCCAACAAACCACAGACCAATGTCCCCCAGGGATACAGATGCAAAAATTCTGAATTAAATTTCAGCAAATTAAATCCAACAATATAATGACCAAGTGGGTCAAAAATCAATCACATGTGATTCTCCTCATCAACAGAATAAAGTAAAACCAAGTGACCATCCCAACAGATGCAGGGCTGCAAGCTGCGGCTAATGGTCAACTGTGGACGCACCTGCTTTAGTGAATAAAGCTGCCTTGGACACAGCCATGCTCATTCTTTCATACACTGTTCACGTTGCTTTTGTGTTCCCGTGGCAGGCTCGAGGAACAGAGCCCACATTGCCCTCAAAGACTGAAAGATTTACTGTCTGACTTTGTACAAAAAATATTTGCTATGCTCAGAATAGATTCAGAAAAAACTTTTCTCAGAATTCAAACTCCATTTATGAACAAAACTCTCAGCAAACTAGGAATGGAAGGCAACTTCTTCAACCCAACAAAAGGAATGTATAAAAAATCCCTGCAGCTAACATCATCCTTCCTAGCAAATGACCAAATGCTTTCACTCTTATGAAAGAATGTCTGTGCTTATGACTCCTATTCAACATTCAACATTGCACTGGAGATCCTAACTAGTGATACAGGGCAAGAAAAAGAAACAAAAGACATATATGTTGGAAAGGAAGAACAAACGATTCCCAGGTGATATGATCCTCTACGTAGAAAATCCAAAAGAATCTACAAAAATGCTACTGGAACTAAAGAGTGAGTTTAGTAAGGTTATGGGTTATAAAGTCAATATACAAAAGCAATAATATTTCTATGTATACTAAAAATGAATAACTGGATATTGAATTTGAAAAAGTGCCATTTATAATAATATCAGTAACTACTAAACACTTATGTATAAACCTAATAAAATATATGCCAGATCTTTATGCTAAAAACTACGAAAAGTGAAAGAAAGCAAAGATCTAAATAAGTGGAGTTGCTCATAGGTAGGAAGACTGGAAATTGTTAAGATGGCAGATCTTACCAAATTGATCTATAGATTTGTAGCAATCCAAATTAAAATCCTAGCAGAATTTTTTGTAGACATTAATAAGCTGTTTCTTAAATTTATACAGAAAGATAAAGGCACTAGAATAGCCAGATTGATTTTGAAAATCAAGAACAAAGTTGGAAAATTCAAACCTGTGATCAACATACAGTAACCAAGACAATGAAGTGGGCAATGAGGAAGAACAGGTCTTACATCAACAAAACAAAATAAAAAGTCCAGAAACAGACTTGCACATATATGATGAACTGATTTTCGACAAATATGCTAAGGCAACTCAAGAGAGAAAGTTGAATTTTTTAGCAAATGATGTTGGAACAATTGGACATGAATATGCAAAAATCCAAACCAAAACAAATCAAACCAAAACAACAATAACCTCACACCATATATGCAAATTAACTCAATACAAGCATTTAATGCTATACATTTCCATTTAAGTACTTTGTATGGCAGCCCTAGGGAACCAGTAGTGACTAAACATATGAACACAGTGACATGTGCCTGCATGGGGCTACTGTTTGTTAAGGATACAATGCTGAAATCAAATCAGTTCCCTGGGGATCCCAGACCTGGCAGATGGAACTCTGGTGCTGTCCACTCTAGGACCCGTGATGTGGGCCCAGCCTCCAGTGCCATGGAGGGTGGGGAGGCAGAGGGTGCTTTGCATCTCCCAGACCTCAGAGATTTGCAGAGACAATGTGTCCCCCAGAGCTGCACCATCCTTTTCTTTAGCTCTCAACCAGGGCACAAAAAAATCATGTTACGCTGTGAGAGCTTCTCTCTCTCTCTCACACATCTTCTTTGTCTCCCTGTCTCTCTCTCTCTGTCTCTCTCTGTCTTCTCTCTCTCTGCCTCCACTCTTGGTGAAAACAAAACGGTTTCATACTTACACTCTGTCTTTATTCTGTTCTTCTTTTTCAAATGTTGGTGCCAATCGAATAAATGGACTTTATGGCCCATCCTGGGTGGCCTCGCGCTGCCTGAAAACTGGGAGCAGAGTCAGGGCACTCCCAACCTTGGCTCCAGCGGCCGGGCCGAGCTGAGGGGAAGCCATCCCATTTCCTAACTACCAGGGAGAAGGCATGTTTCCTTCCAGTTGTATCGGCTTCATGGTCCATCTTTTCTGTTTCAGACAATTTATCCTTGTCATGTGCCATCAGTAAACATGGAGAAATGGTTTTCCCCATCTTTTCTTCAACTTTTTTTTCAACTCATGCCCTCTGACTCACATCTGTTTCTATTGCAATGTTCTCCTGGCCTATGTCACCCTGCAGGGGAGCCTGTGCGCACCCTTGGATCCGGGCGCCCACGCCACTGTGGCACATGGCTGTCCTGTCAGGTTGCATCTGAGTTGTTGGTAAGGTCACTAGGACTTTGTGGGATCCTCCATGTTAATGAATCCAAGGGGTTTTTCCTTTACATTCTCACAGAAGCATCTTCTCCAGTCCTCTGCTCAAATAAGGGTCAAGGTTTCACATTCTCCTCAGTGTCTATGCATTCATTCATTCATTCAACAAACACCTACTCAAGGCAAGGTGCTAGGGTCGGCATGGAGGGTGCACTCTCTCATTCAGGAAGCCTTGTTCCCATGGGGGGATATGGATGTACCGAGAAATACCTGCAGCCCAGAGCAGCAGGTACTGAGACAGCATGAACAGACAGCTCTCAGCCCAGGAGACCATGCCACCGGCCCTGCCTCTTGTGTTCCTGTCATCTTAGGAGCTGAGCTAAATCAGGAGCTGCCTGGACACTTCCATTTGGCTTTTGGTAAAAATTAAAAGGCATAACTCAGGCTGGAGGAGGAGGTGAGAGGAAGCAAAGCAATAATTGGCAGTAGAGGGTCCCAGAGGAGGCACTTTGTAAGATTCAGACTCCATTTCTTTAACCCTGTGCCATGGAAGCAGGGTTCGAATTTCAGGATGGATTTTTCTTTTAATGAAAAGCACCAAGCCCCCCAACACAATGCCATTGTCTATATGTGAAGTTCTGTCATTCTGTTCTCATCAGAGAAACAGCTCATTCGAGTAGATCATCCAGATCCTCCCTGGCCCGGGCCAGCTCTCATTCCTGACGCATCCTGAAGTCCACAGACTCCTGCAGGGAAGCCGTAACTGGGGAAGAAGCAGAAGCTCCACTTCAGTGTGATGAGAAGGCTAAACGCAGAATTGAAATGACGGCAGTGACAGGGGAATCTTCATGCTCCCAACGCAGCATCACCACGGATGCACCTAGGTTCTTTGGAGTGCAGCAGAGATGCTGGTGGAGACAGGGAAGAGCAGTGCTGGTCACATGCGGTGCCTTCGGGCGGGTAGGGGCTGCTCCGCTTCACCCAGGGGGGTCCTTGTTCGGATTCACCCCGTATTTATCAGGCTTTTGTTCACCCCTGCCTCCTGCATCTTGCTTCTCCTGCCTCAAATGCTTCATGACGTTTTCTTTAAAACGAAGTTCTCTCAATGTGAAACGCTTGGCCTTTTCCAGCAAAGTCTATTTTGCTCTCACTGGCAGATACTTCAGCTGGGTATGGAATTCTACATTGATAGCCATGCTTTTAAAAAAATCGTTTGAAGATATGATTTGCTGTCTTTTGACTTCTATTGTTTTCTGTGGAAATAACCGTTTACAGTCTAATCGTTCTGTTTTAGAAATCTTAACTTGTTTCAGGTTGATTGCCAGATCGTCTCTTGGATTTTGGAGTTCTGCAGCTCTACAAGTGATATGTCTAATTTCATTTCTATTTCTCTTCCTTTAGAACATACTGTGATTCCTGAATCTGAGGATTATGTTCTTCACTGATATGGGGATAGCCTTGATAATCATTCCTTCAAACACTGCCCCTTGCTCACTCTCCATTCCCTCCTGTGGGATGTTGGTTCTTACCTTTTATGTTTCCTGGTCTCTGGTTTTATAGCTCTTTATGCCTCAGGTTCACCTTCCAATTTACTTTTTTTTCAATTATGACAGATCTGCTGTTCCACTCATCACTTCATCTTGAATTTTAATGACTTTTTTGTTTCTGTTTCTCCTAGTTCTTTTTTGGTATTGGACAACTTTGCCTGTTTTTCACAGTGTCTTGATATTTTCTGTTCTCAATTCCATTTCTATGCCATGAATAATTTTAAGCATGTTTATTTTAGCATAAGCATTTAATGCTATAAATTTCCATTTGAGCACTGCTTCAGTTGCATCCCACAACTTTTGACATGTTGTGTTTTCCTTTTCATTTAATTAACCCTTTCCCATTTGCCCCGAGAATACTTGCCAATGGTACTTGTGGCAGCAGCATTTACCCCAAGATACCTTTACCATGAAATATCTCACTTTTAATTTTTGAATCGCTTGAGTATATCGACTTTGGAAACAAAAGCCATCATTCTATTTATAGCATTCTGTTTTTAGTAGAGGTATTTTTATTTACAAAATATAGTAATTCTCAGTTGCTGAAAATGTAAAATCCTAGAAAATGTAGCATTCCTATATGTAATGTTAACATTGTTCTTGAACAGTTGCTGGCCAAAGATTTGTTCAATGAATCTGATTTTTCTGAAATAGACAATTCTGATGATTCAGAAAATTCTGATGTTAGTTCTGCTTAACTCCAAGAACACTTTTTCTATTTTATTTTCACACTGAAAATCAGTCAGATTTGCTTCTGCCTTAAAGAGCATGTTTATGTAAAAAGCAAATGAGCACTGGCAGTGAGACGCACTTCATTTTTCTAAATGGGAAAAGGGTTAAACATTTTTGAATTTCCCTTGTGACTTCTTTGCGCATTGGGTTATTGAGAAGTGTGTTGCATAATTTGCAAATATTTGGAGGATTTCCCCACATCATTTTCTATTATTGATTTCTGGTTTATTTCTGTTGTGTGCAGATAACATGCTTTGCATGATTTTAATTATTTTAGACTTGTTGAAGTTTGTTTTGTGGTCAAAAAGATGGTGGATGTTGGTGAATGTTCCAAGAGCATTTGTAAAGATATGCATTCTTCTGTTGCTGGGTGGATTGTGTTCTATAAAAGGTCAATTTGAGTAATTTGGCTAAAAATGTTGTTTTGGCCTTTTATGTCCTTATTCTGTCTATTTCTTTTATCAATTACTGAAAAAGAGTGCTAAAGTTTCCAAATGTAACTATAGATTTGTCTGCTTTTACTTTCATTTCTATCAAGGTTGGCTTCATACTTGTTTTGAAGCTCTGTGGTGGATAGTGCATAGATATTTGAGTTTATTGTGTGTCTTCCTAAGAAACTGACCCTTCTAAAATGATCTAGTTTTCCTTTTATCTTTGATAATGTTGTTTTGAAGTCAACTTTGTCTGATAGTAACATAGCCACTTCAATTTTCTTCTTTCTTCTTTTTTTTCTAAAGTTTTCTAGAAAAACATTTATTTTTCTCCAAGTTTTAAAGTGTGTCACCAGGTTTGTTGTACAGATTATTTCATCATCCAGCAATTAAGCCTAGTCCCTATTAGTTATTTTTCCTCATCCTCTCCCTCCTCCCATTCTCCACTCTCAAGTAGGCCCCAGTGACTTTTGTTCCCCTCTATGTGTCCATGTGTTCTCATCATTTAGCTTCCACTTATAAGTCAGAACATGCGGTATTTGGTTTTCTGTTCCAGTGTTAGTTTGCTAAAAATTATAGCCTCCAGCTCCATCCATGTCCCTGCAAAGGACATAATTTCATTCTTTTTAATGGCTGTATAGTATTCCATGGTGTATATGCACCACATTTTCTTTATCCAGTCTCTCAATGATTGGCATTTAGGGTGATTTCATGTCTTTATTATTGTGAGTAGTGCTGCAATGAACAGACACATGCATGTGTCTTTATAATAGAATGATTTATATTCCTATATTTATATTTGGCCCTTGGCCTATAGTTTGACAACCCCTGGTGTAAAACATTTAGACTTAAGGTAATTATTGATGTTTTTGGATTAAAAACTGCCAACTTGCTAGCTGTTTTCTATTTGCCTTGTCTGTTCTTTATTTCTTTTTCCCCTTGTCTTCTTTGAATTAATTGGGTATTTTTAAATATTCATTTTACTTCCTCTATTGATTTGTTATTCACACCTTAAATATTTTTAGTGTTGGATCTAGGCTTTACAAATATGTATCTCTAACTTATTGCAGTCTAACTTTAAATAGTAATTTATCACCTCATGTAAAGTGTGAGAACCTTTAAATGGCATACCTCCAGTTGCCCTCCTTTTTGCTTTGTTGACATACTTTTTTTTTTTTTTTTTTGCATGTTTCTTTCTTTCTTTTCCCTTTGGAGATTCAATTGTATTTCAAGTGATCTCAACTAACAGTACCAAAATGTCTTTCATATTTACTTCATTTTTACTATTTCTGGTACTTTTTATTTCTTTGTACAATCCACATTTTGGCCTGGAGAATGCCATTTAACATTTCTAACTTTGCAGATCTGCTAACGATGTGTTATCTTTGTCTGAAATAATCCTTATTTTTGTCTTCATATGTAAAAGATATTTTCTCTGAGAATAGAATTCTGGGATGGCAATTTTTTCTTTCAGTCATTTAAAGATGTCATTCCACTGTCCTCTAGATTATATAGTTTCTGATATGAAGTTTGCTGTAATTCCTATCTTGGTTTTTTTCTATGTAAAGTGTTTCTTTTCTCCCTTCTAGCTGCCTTCAATATACCCTCTTTTTAAAATTTCAACTTAAATATGATATGCCTACAGTGTGTGTGTGTCTCTGTGTTTAAACGTATCCTGCTTGGTGTTCTCTGAGATACTTGGATCGGTAGTTTGATAACTTTTATTACTTTTGGGCATTTTCAGCCATGATTTCTCCCTCTATATTGCTCTCTCTCGTCTCTTTATCTTTCTGTGATTTCAATGATATGTATGTGAGGAAATGAGGTATTTACCCATAACTCTTTGGTAATATGGTGTTTTTTCATTCTTTTTTTTCCCTTTATGTTTCAGTTTTTATTTCTATTGACCTATTTTCAAGATAGCTAACTTTGTTTCCTAGCTGTGCACTGTCTACTGATGAGCTCTTGGAAGAAATTCTTAATTTAAGAAATTATGTATTTTATTTCTAGTATTTCCATTTGACTCTTCTTATAATTTCCATATCTCTCCTGAAATTCCTCATCTTTTAATACATATTTTCCACTAGATTATTTAACATAGTAATCATAGTTATCATTGTCTGATAGTTCCAACATCTGGGACATCTCTGTGTCTGGTTCTGTTGTTTATTACTTTATAATGGGTATTTTTCTTGCTTCCTTTTGTGTATTGTAATTTTTTATTGAATGTCAGACATCATGTATGAAGCACAGTAGAGATTGACGTAAACTGTATTATGCCTTAAAATGGGCACACCTCTTCTTTCGTCATGCCATTAGCATGGGGGTTGAGCCAGTTTTGTCAGAGGTAGGTCTGGCTTGGAATCAGTTGTGGCTATTGACATCTTCAATGCACCGAAGAATCAAAGTCCTCCAGAAGTGTGCTGCTGTTGCCTTGTGTTCACAGTATGAGCTAGGGGGCCAGAGACTTTCGTAGTGTTTCTATTTCCCTTTAGCCTTCAGCCTTCCCTGAACACCTGCACGGCAGAGCGGGTTTCTTTCTCAGTTCTTCCCTTCCCTCAGGGGATATACTCCCTTCACTGGTTACTCCCTGCTAGGCCTGTGATGGGCAGGGGATTTCTCACTTGTCCTTATCCAGCCTCACTCTCAGGCAATCTGTGTTGTTTGATCAGCACCCATGTCACTTCTCTCAGTAGCCAAACTTTGCCTTTTACAGTGGTTGGTCTTGGGTGGTATTTCTTGTCTCTTCCTGTGGTAACAGCTCTCTGTTAGTAATGGTGAAGGATCCTGGCCCCAAGGTAGTTTAACATCTTTCTTCTAGAGGCAGAAAAGTTTTGCTTTTACTCCTATCCCCAGAAGTCATAGATCTTTGCTTGTGCTTTGGGAATAAGAGGCTTTGCTGCCCCTCCGCAAGAGGCTTTTATAGCTTCAGAGCTACTGAGAAAGTGGGAGGGGTCACCTGTCTGTCCCCAGCTGTGGGTGATCATTCCCTACATGCCTCTGTGGCCCTGCTGTGCCCCAGTCCTTCCTGTGAGCATCTTACAGAGACCTATGGAGAAGACCTTGTGAGTGCAAGCCCCCTTGTGCCTGGGGCCTCTGGATTTTTCAAATGCATATTATATCCCACACTTGGCTATTAAAAAATTCAGTGGTTACTTCTTACCCACTTGTATGGTGGTGACCTGTTTTCCTCCTGCTTGGCCAAAAATGAGAAAGCTCATGTGTTCCAGCTCTGTTTGGTAGGCTTGCCTCTTTTTTGAATTCTGCCTACTTTACCCTGCTACTGGAATGTTCTTATGGGCTCAAGGAAAGCCATGGTTTTGTAGATGATCCCACTTTTTATTATTAGGGTGAGAGTAGCGTAGCATTGTTTTTTGTTTTTTTTTTTAAATGGAGTCTCACTCTTGTCTCCCAGGCTGGAGTGCAGTGCATGATCTCAGTTCACTGCAACCTCTGCCTCCTGGGTTCAAGTGATTCTCCTGCCTCAGCCTCCCAAGTAGCTGGAATTACAGGCACCCACCACTGCACCTGGCTAGACAGTAACATTTTTTTTACAGCATTCTAAGTGGAGGTAGAGAACCTGAAACGTACTTATGTCAAATGCTCTATCAGATTGTTCAATTATCTGAAATTCTTGAAGTCTAGTAATGCTATTATTTTGCCTGCTGCTTATTATCCATGGCATATTGCTTCCCATAAGTTTGTGTTTTGAATTATAAGCTCACCTTTGGCAGAGCTATTGTCTGTGAAAATCCTGTGTAGCCCAAATTAAGGGAATCATTCTTTACATCAAGTTTGTATTTGCTTCTGCCAAGTGCCCTCTGACCCAAAGTGTCACCAGATGAGACTTCCTATCATGCTGGTTTCACAGATTAGCTATTCCAGAATACACAGAACTTGAAGTCCCCATGTGGTACAGGCTTACACAGACATATTTCCATTTTCCTGTGCTGGTAGATGGTTTTTTATCTACACTATCCTTTTACTGAGGGTGTAGTCTTGTTAGCAGTCGTAGCATTATTCAGGGATTTCATTTGCAACACTTTTCTTCCCTAGGCCTCATCTTCTGAAAATAAACTCTAACAGCCAAATTTCTATGTTTCATAAGGGAAAATTACAGTTGAGGATTGTTCTGCAATTAGATCTGTAACTTACTGCTCTGGATTTTAATTCTCTCTTGGTTTTCTAGCCCTGAAGATTTCCTTTACTTTGCTGCAGATCATAATAGACATTTAAAAATGTTTATTATATTTTATCTAGAATTTCTAAAGATTTTCAACTTATATAGTTTTCAACGTTGGCAAACACAAATAAGTAAATTGAATCTTCTAAGTCCTTTGATTTGATTTCCATGTGACTAAGGACTATGGCAGCTGCCTAGGCCTGTGTCTCCCAATATTTCCTCAAAAAATGACACAGAAAAACAGGAAAGAAAAATAAGATTACACAAAACTATACACTCAGGCATAACCTAACTATAAAATACTCAAATATCAAAATAACAGTAAGTAAAAAATAAATAATAAAAATTTAAAAGTTATAGTGAAGAATCTCTGTTCCTGCCCTACATTCACTCCATGCAACATTTATTGATCAGCAATGGCAGGTTGAGATAAAACAGTGAGAAAAGTGAGCTAGAAAAAGCCTAATATTGATCTGAAAACACTATCAGAATAAGCAACTCCACTGTAAGACTGAAAATACTAAATATGGGTCCTGGGTAGATCAGAGAAAGGGCTACAGAGAAAGAACTTAAAAAGCACATGTGAATTTTATGTGTCAGTCTTCAAAATATATAACACCTGGGAAAGAGAAAAGACAAAAAATAAGGAGTAGGCTCCTTTTAGAAATTGAATGACAAAGGACAAAAGTAGCAAAAGGGGAACATGTATGGTCCTGTAAGATTAAAAAGAACCAAAAATATCAGAGGATACACTTATTTTTCTTATATCAAAGCAATCAAAATATTCACTAAAGGATCAGTATTTTTCAATACTGATATAACTTAAATGGAAATGTAATAAAAGGTAGAAAAGTAAGTCAGAAAAACAAGAAAATGTAATGAGATAAAGAAATAAGTAAAAAACATCAATGAGGAAATAATAAGAAAATATAATACAGGCAGGCAAAGAAGAAATAACATCTGTATAATTGGTGTAATTGAAGAAAACAACAGCAGCATTAACTATGGAATAGAATGAATATTTGAAGTTATAATTAAGATAACTTTATAGAAAAATAATAGGTGAGTCTAATTTTGAAAGGATCCATTTTGTATCTGGGAAAACTAATACCAAGATGTATCCCAGTAAAACCATTAGATTTCAAAGATAAAACAACCAAAAAAGCAAGGCAACAATGAAGCAGCGTTCTCTATCAACTTAATGAAAAAAAAAAGTATAAATCAAGGATTTTATATCCATCTAAGTGTGCATCAAACATCAACTTAAACATACAAGAGTCTAAAGATTTGTGTGTCCATAGCACATTCTTCAGTAATCTGCTACAGGATGAGCTTCATCAAACCAAAAGATAACTGGACAACTTCAACAAGAACAGTGATGGTGAAGGTGGATACACACACACACACACACACACACACACAACTCATAATCATATATGTAAATGACTGAAACATAGGTGAGACTGGAAAACTAATATGCAAATGCTATATGTATTGACAAAATAGAGGTGATAAAACTAAACTATGGGAGGTGATAAGGGAGATGAAGAGGAAAATAGAAACTCATTGATGTTGATGCCTAATTGAAATTAGGCAATGATTGATAGTTCAAGTACACCATTAAAAACTGACAAAGCAGGGGCTGGGCATGGTGGCTCACACCTGTAATCCCAGCACTTTGAGAGGCCAAGGTGGGTGGATCCCTTGATGTCAGGAGTTTGAGACCAGCCTGGCCAACATGGTGAAACCCATTCTCTACTAAAAACACAAAAATTAGCCAGGCATGGTGGCAGGTGCCTATAATCCCAGCTACTTGGGAGGCTGAGGCAGGGGAATCTCCTGAACCCAGGAGGTATAGGTTGCAGTAAGCTGAGATCATGCCACTGCACTCCAGCCCAGGTGACAGTGACAGTCTGTAACAACAACAACAACAACAAACAACAACAACAACAACTGACAATCCAGAAAGTGGAGCAAGATAGCTAAATATTACCCTCCAGTGATTGACCCCTGTAGGAACATAAAATTGAACAACTATGCATTCAAGAAGTCACCTTCACAAGAACTGGAAAATCAGATGAGTGATCATAGTACCTAGTTTTAGCATAATAACAGGAAAAGACACATTGAAGAAGGTAGGAAGGACAGTGTAGTATTGCCTACACCACCCTGCCCCAACACCAAGCAGCACAGTGCAGAGAGAGAATCTGTGTGCTTCAGAGAGGGAGGGAAGTGAGTGTGGGACCTTGCATTGGAGCTCAATGCTGGCCTCACCACAGTGGAACACAGCACCTGGCAGAATTCCGTGGTCCTTGATTCCAGGCCAGTGCCCACAGAGGGAGCATTTAGACCCACCCCAGGCCAGAGGAGAATCGCTGCCCTGCAGGATGAACCTGAGTCCTGCCCTGCTTCACTGCTGATTACCTAAAGTGGCCATAGGTCCCAAATAAATTTCAGTGTCAGCAGGGCTATAGTGACCACAGTCCTTGGGTGAACCCTGTGGTGCTGCACTGGTCTGGGAGGCAGAAGGCTTGGGATGCAACCCAATTTAACACCAGATGCAGGGGCCATAGAAGTGCCCACATCACAACTCTCTCAACTCCAGGCACTGTAGCTTAGAGTGAGACTCCTTCTGGGGAGAAGGAGAGAAAAGAGTACAGGGGCCTTTGCATTGGAACCTAGCACAAACCCTGCCACAGCAAAACCACACTGGGAAGAACCCTGAAGCTCCTGATTCCAGGCTATTACTTCCAGACAACATTTCTAGGCCGACCCCAGGCTGGAAGACCATAATACCAGCTTGGTATGATGGTCCTGAGTCCTGGCTGGCTTCACCACTGGCTGACTAAAGTGACCGTGAGCCTCGAATAAACATCAATGGCAGTTAGGCAGTAGCAGCTGCAGACCTTGGATGAGCTCTGGTACTGTGCTTGTCTGGGCAGCTGTGGGACTTTGGGTGAGACCCAGCATTGGTGCCAGCTGTGGCGGCCATGAGAGTGCCGGTATCACTCCTCTTCCAACTCCAGGCAGCTCAGTGTGGAGAGAGATTCCGTCTGCTATGGGGAAACAGAGGGAAGTGAGTGAGGGACTTTGGGAGCCCAGAGGATTCTCCCTGATTTTCCCCAACTGCATCAGAGCTGGGTATCTAGGAGGTTGCAAGAGATTTGCAGTGTAACTGGACTTAGGATGCTCTGTAGTGCAAAAGTGGCTGCAGTGACCACAGGCTTAGGGAACTCAACAGTCAGTCAGTCTCCTTTGAATCAATGAAAGGTCCTCTGAAGGATGGGTAGAAACAAAGCCCATGTGATGACTGGAATAAATATCTAACTTTCAATGCCCAGGCACCAGTGAACATTCAGAAGCATTAAGAACATTCAGAAAAATATGACTCCGTCAAATAGATGAAATAAGGCACCATTAGCCAACCCTAGAGATACGAAGATGTGTGACTTTAAGACTGAGAATTCTACAAAAATATAGCTATTTTGAGGAAAACTTCAATAAGACACAGAAAAGGTTGGGCACGGTGGCTCACACCTGTAATCCCAGCACTTTGGGAAGCCAAGAACGGGCAGATCACTTGACGTCAGGAGTTCGAGACCAGCCTGGCCAACATGGTGAAACCCCATTTCCACTAAAAATACAAAAATTATCTGGGCATGGTGGCATGTGCCTGTAATCCCAGATACTTGGGAGGCTGAGGCAGGAGAACTGCTTGAATCTGGGAGGCAGAGGTTGCAGTGAGCTGAGATCACGCCATTGCACTACAGCCTGAGTGACAGAATGAGACCACATCTCAAAAAAAAAAAAAAAAAAAAAAAAAAAAAAAAAAAAAAAAGACACAGAAAAGCCATTCAGAAACTTATCAGATTAATTTAATGAAAGATTGAAATAATAACAATAATAACAATAATAAATCCTGGGGCTGAAAAACATAATTAAAAACTGAAAAATTAATCAGAGTGTCTCAACAGCAGAATTGATCAGGCAGGAGAATCAGGCTTGAATACAGGCTGATATAGTTTGAATGTTTGTCCCTTCCAAATCTCATGTTGAAATGTGATCCCCAGTGTTGGACGTGGGGCCTTCTGGGAGGTGTTTGGGTCATGAGGGTGGATCCCTCATAAACAGCTTGGTGCCTTCCCCTCAGTAATGAGTTCTTGATCTTTTGGTTCACACAGGAGCTGGTTGTTCAAGAGCATGGAACTCCTCCCATCACTCCCTCTTGCTCCCTCTCTGATCACACAACACACTGGTTCCCCTTGCCTTCTGCCATGAGGAAAAGTTCCCTGAGGCCCCAACCAGAGGCAGATGCTGGCACCATGCTTCCTGTACAGCCTGCATAACTGTGAGCCAAATAAACCTCTTTTCTTTATAAATTACCCAGCCTCAGGTATCCCATTATGGCAACACAAAAGGGACTAATACTTAGGCCATTTAAAAATATACAGTCAGAGGGGAAAATAAAAAGCAATGCAGAACACTTATGAAATCAAGAAAGGGCAAATCTATGGAGTCATGGCCTTAAGGAGTAGAGAAAAATATAGGAGTAGAAAGTTTATTCAAAGAAGTAATTACAGAGACCTTTCCAAACCTAGAGAAATATAGGAATACTGAGGTACAAGAAGATCAAAGATCACCAGGAATATTCAACCCAAGTAAAACTACCCCAATTTATCGAATAATCAAGCTCTCAAATGTAAAGGACAAAGAAAGGATTATAAAAGAAGCAAGATAAAATAATCAAATAATATCTAAAGAAGCTCTGATACATCTGGCAGCAGACTTCTCAGTGGAAACTTTATAGGCCAGGAGGGAGTTGGATGACATATTTAAAGTGCTAAAGGAAAAAAAAAAACAACTCTTCCAACCAAGAATGCTCTACTCAGCAAAGCTATCCTTCAAACCTGAAAAAGAAATACTTTCCCAGACAAACAAAAGCCGAGAGAATTCACATCCACCAGACCTGTCTTACAAGAAAGGCTGAAAAGAAGTCTTCAATCTGAAAGAAAAGGGTGCTAATGTGCAACAAGCAATTATCTGAAGGTATGAAACTCAATGGTAAAAGTCAGCAGACAGGAAAATTCAGAGCACTCTAACACTGCAATTGTGGTGTGCAAACCACTCATATCTTTAGTATAAAGATGAAAAGGCAAATCTATTAAAAAATAATAATTTTAAAGAGATAGGCAATATAAAAAGACAAATTGAGGCAACAAAACGTGAAAATGCAGGAGGAAATGAGTTAAAGTGTAGGGATTTTTAGTTTGTTCTTTGCTTGTTTATTTTCTTTTCTTTGTGATCAAAGTTAATTTGTTATCAGTTTAAAATAACTTGTTATAGGATGTGTTTTTTAGGTTTCCTGGTAACCACAAAGCAAAAATCTGTAATAAATACACTGAAAACCAACACATAGACCAAGGAGACAGAATAGGGAATCTAGAAATAAATCTATGCATTTACAGCCAATTCATTTTCAACAAAGGCACTAAGAACATACATTTGAAAAAGGATAGTCTCCTTTATAAATGGTTCTGGGAAAACTGGACATTCATATGCAGAAGAATGAAACTTGACCCCTATCTCTCACCCATATACAAAAATCAACTCAAAATGGGTTAAAGACTTAAATGTAAGACCTGAAACTATGAAAACATTAGAAGTAAACATTAGAAAAACACTTTAGAACATCTGTCTGGGCAAATATTTTTTGAGTAAGACCTTAAAAGCACAGGCAACAAAAGCAAAAATAGACAATTAGGATTATATCAAGCTAAAAAGCTCCTACACAACTAATGAAACAATCAATAAGGTGAAGAGACAAAGAATGGGAGAAAATATTTGCAAACTATCCATCTGACAAGAAATCAATTACCAGAATATCAGAATATATAAGGAACTCAAACAACTCTGTAGCAAAACAAAAAACAAAAAACAAAAAAACTAATTTAAAAATGGGCAAAAGATCTGAACTGACATTCTCAAAAGAAGCCATACAAGTGGCCAACAGGTATGTGAAAAGCATTAATCACCAGGGAAATGCAAATCAAAACCACAATGAGATATCATCTCATCCCAGTTAAAATAACTTTTCAAAAACACAGGAAATGTCAGATGCTGGCAAGGATGGGGAAAAAGGGGGAATCCTTGTACATTGTTGGTGGGAGTGTAAACTAGTTCAGCCACTATGGAAAACAGTATAGAGGTTCCTCAAACAACAACTAAAAACAGAACTACCATATGATCTAGGAAGCCCACTGATGTGATGGGTATATGTCTAAAAGAAAGCAAATCAGTACATCAAAGAAATCTCTACACTCCCATGGCCATTGCAGTTCTATTTACAATAGACCAAACGTGGTATCAACGTAAGTGTCCATCAGTGGATAAACGAATAAAGAAAATATGGCACACATACACATGGAATACTAATGGAATACTATTCAGTCATAAAAAACCAAAATCCTGTCAATTGCAGCAACACAGGTGGAACTGAAGGACATTAGGTCAAGTGAAAGGCACAGAGAGCCTAATATCACATGCTCTCACTCATATGTTGGAGCTAAAAAAAATGATCTCATGGAGGTAGAGAGTGCAATGGTGGTTACCAGAGGCTGGGAAGGTAAAAGGGGAGAAGGAAATAGAGAGAGATTGGTTAATGGGAACAAAAATACAGTTAGATAGAAGGAATAAGTTCTAGCATTTGGCAGCACGGTAGGGTGATTACAGTTAACAATATGTTATTGTATATTTCAAAAGTACTAGAAGAGAAGATGTGGAATGTTCTCAACCCAAAGAAATGATAAATGATTGAGGTGGTGGACATCTCAGTTACCCAGATTTGATCATTACACATTGTATGCATATAGCAAAATGTTAAATGTGTCCTGTAAATATGTGCAACTATTATATATGAATTAAAAACTGAAAAACCAGATAGTAAGTGGTGTAATAAGAAAAAAAGGGAATTAGGGACATTTAAAAAGTTGTAAGTACAAAGGTGTTTAGTAGAACAAAAATATAAACTTTCTTAAATACCCCAATTTTTTTTTTTATAATTTAAAGAACAGGAATATTTACTTCCTAAAAAAAACATAGCAAATGTAACACAATCTACATAATTTTATGATATTTTGACAGGGTTGTGATGAATTACCAGTCACATTGATAATGTAAATGAGCTTAACTCATCCATTAATTATTTTTTTCAGTTTTCCTGAGAAAGTAAGATCCAAGTATATGCTGTATACTTAAGTGATGTTGAGTGGTTAAAAATAAAGAAATGGACGGACAACATTTTGCTTATCCATGTATTCGTCAGTGGACACTGGATTGCTTCTATGTTTTTGCTATTGTGAATAATGCTATGAACACAGGGGTATAAATGCCTCTTCAAAACCCTGCTTTCAGTTATTTTGGGTGTATACCCAGAAGTGTAATTGCTGGGTCATACAGTAATTCTATTTTTTATTTTTTGAGGCACCACCATACTGTCTTCTGCAGTGGCTGCACCATTTTACATTCCCATCAACAGTGCACAAGAATTCCAATTTCTCTACATCCTCCCCAGTACTCACTATTTTTTTAATAGTCTGAATTGGACTACTCAGGTGCGTCATATAAGTGGAATCACACAGTATTTGTCCTTCTGTGATTGATTTATTTCACTTAGCATAATATCTGCAAGGGTCATCACTGTTTTACTATGTGTCAGAATTTTATTTCTTTTTAAGGCCAAGTAATTTGCAAATTATATATCTGATTAGAGATTAATATTCAGAATATATAAAAACTCCTAAAACCCAACAACAAACAACTTTTATAATTTAAACAACAAGGAATATATATATATATTTTTTTAATTGTACTTTAAGTTCTAGGGTACATGTGCACAATATGCAGGTTTGTTACATATGTACACATGCATCATGTTGGTGTGCTGCACCCATTAACTCATCATTTACATTAGGTATATCTCCTAATGCTATCCCTCCCCCATCCCCGCACCCCATCACAGGCCCCAGCATCTGATATTTCCCTTCCTGTGTCCAAGTGTTCTCATTGTTCAATTCCCACCTATGAGTGAGAACATGTGGTGTTTGGTTTTTTGTCCTTGCGATAGTTTGATGAGAATGATGGTTTCCAGTTTCATCCATGTCCCTACAAAGGACATGAACTCATCCTTTTTTATGGCTGCATAGTATTCCATGGTGTATATGTGCCACATTTTCTTAATCCAGTCTATCATTGATGGACATTTGGGTTGGTTCCAAGTCTTTGCTATTGTGAATAGTGCCACAATAAACATACGTGTGCATGCATCTTTATAGCAGCATGATTTACAATCCTTTGGGTATATACCCACTAATGGGATGGCTGGGTCAAATGGTATTTCTAGTTCTACTTCCTTGAGGAATCGCCACACTGACTTCCACAATGGTTGAACTAGTTTACAGTCCCAACAACAGTGTAAAAGTGTTCCTATTTCTCCACATCCTCTCCAGCACCTGTTGTTTCCTTACTTTTTAATGATCACTATTCTAACTGGTGTGAGATGGTATCTTATTGTGGTTTTGATTTGCATTTCTCTGATGGCCAGTGATGATGAGCATTTTTTCATGTTTTTGTTGGCTGCATAAATGTCTTCTTTTGAGAAGTGTCTGTTCATATCCTTCACCCACTTTTTGATGGGGTTGTTTGTTTTTTTCTTGTAAATTTGTTTGAGTTCTTTGTAGATTCTGGATATTAGCCCTTTGTCAGATGAGTAGATTGCAAAAATTTTCTCCCATTCTGCAGGTTGCCTGTTCATTCTGATGGTAGTTTCTTTTGCTGTGCAGAAGCTCTTTAGTTTAATTAGATCCCATTTGTCAATTTTGGCTTTTGTTGCCATTGCTTTTGGTGTTTTAGACCTGAAGTCCTTGCCCATGCCTATGTCCTGAATGGTATTGCCTAGGTTTTCTTCTAGGGTTTTTATGATTTTAGGTCTAACATTTAAGTCTTTAATCCATCTTGAATTAATTTTTGTATAAGGTATAAGGAGGGGATCCAGTTTCAGCTTTCTACATATGGCTAGTCAGTTTTCCCAGCACCATTTATTAAATAGGGAATCCTTTCCCCATTCCTTGTTTTTGTCAGGTTTGTCAAAGATCAGATGGTTGTAGATGTGTGGTATTATTTCTGAGGGCTCTGTTCTGTTCCATTGGTCTATATCTTTGTTTTGGTACCAGTATCATGCTGTTTTGGTTACTGTAGCCTTGTAGTATAGTTTGAAGTCAGGTAGCATGATGCCTCCAGCTTTGTTTTTTTGGCTTAGGATTGTCTTGGCAATGTAGGCCCTTTTTTGGTTCCATATGAACTTTAAAGTAGTTTTTTCCAATTCTGTGAAAAAAGTCATTGGTAGCTTGATGGGGGTGGCATTGAATCTATAAATTACCTTGGGCAGTATGGCCATTTTCATGATATCTATTCTTCCTATCCATGGGCATGGAATGCTCTTCCATTTGTTTGTGTCCTATTTTGTTGAGCAGTGGTTTGTTGTTCTCCTTGAAGAGGTCCTTCACATCCCTTGTAAGTTGGATTCCTAGGTATTTTATTCTCTTTGAAGCAATTGTGAATGGGAGTTCACTCATGATTTGGCTCTCTGTTTGTCTGTTATTGGTGTATAAGAATGCTTGTGATTTTCGCACATTGATTTTGTATCCTGAGATTTTGCTGAAGTTGCTTATCAGCTTAAGGAGATTTTGGGCTGAGACGATAGGGTTTTCTAAATATACAATCATGTCATCTGCAAACAGGGACAATTTGACTTCCTCTTTTCCTAATCAAATACACCTTATTTCTTTCTCCTGCCTGATTGCCCTGGCTGGAATTTCCAACACTATGTTGAATAGGAGTGGTGAGAGAGGGTATCCCTGTCTTGTGCCAGTTTTCAAAGGGAATGCTTCCAGTTTTTGCCCATTCAGTATGATATTGGCTGTGGGTTTGTCATAAATAGTTCTTATTATTTTGAGATACGTCCCATCAATACCTAATTTATTGAGAGTTTTTAGCATGAAAGGCTGTTGAATTTTGTTGAAGGCCTTTTCTGCATCTATTGAGATAATCATGTGGTTTTTTCTTTGGTTCTGTTTATATGCTCGACTACGTTTATTTATTTGCGTACTTTGAACCAGCCTTGCATCCCAGGGATAAAGCCCAGTTGATCATGGTGGATAAGCTTTTTGATGTGCTGCTGGATTCGGTTTGCCAGTGTGTTATTGAGGATTTTTGCATCAATGTTCATCAGGGATATTGGTCTAAAATTCCCTTTTTTTGTTGTGTCTCTGTCAGCCTTTGGTATCAGGATGATGCTGGCCTCATAAAAATGAGTTAGGGAGGATTCCCTCTTTTTCTATTGATTGGAATAGTTTCAGAAGGAATGGTACCAGCTCCTCCTTGTACCTCTGGTAGAATTCGGCTGTGAATCCGTCTGGTCCTGGACTTTTTTTGTTTGGTAGGCTATTAATTATTGCCTCAATTTCAGAGCCTGTTATTGGTGTATTCAGGGATTCAACTTCTTCCTGGTTTAGTCTTGGGAGGGTGTACGTGTCCAGGAATTTATCCATTTCTTCTAGATTTTCTAGTTTATTTGCGTAGAGGTGTTTAGAGTATTCTCTGACGGTAGTTTGTATTTCTTTGGTATCGGTGGTGATATCCCCTTTACCATTTTTTGTTGCGTCTGTTTGATTCTTCTCTCTTTTCTTCTTTATCAGTCTTGCTAGAGGTCTATCAATTCTGTTGATCTTTTCAAAAAACCAGCTCCTGGATTCACTGATTTTTTGAAGTGTTTTTTGTGTCTCCATCTCTTTCAGTTCTGCTCTGATCTTAGTTATTTCTTGCCTTCTGCTAGCTTTTGAATGTGTTTGCTCTTGCTTCTCTAGTTCTTTTCATTGTGATGTTAGGGTGTCAATTTTAGATATTTCCTGCTTTCTCTTGTGGGCATTTAGTGCTATAAATTTCCCTCTACATACTGCTTTAAATGTGTCCCAGAAATTCTGGTATGTTGTGTCTTTGTTCTCATTGGTTTCAAAGAATATCTTTATTTCTGCCTTCATTTTGTTATGTACCCAGTAGTCATTCAGGAGCAGGTTATTCAGTTTCCATGTAGTTGAGTGGTTTTGAGTGAGTTTCTTAATCCTGAGTTCTAGTTTGATTGCACTGTGGTCTGAGAGACAGTTTGTTATAATTTCTATTCTTTTACATTTGCTGAGGAGTGCTTTACTTCCAACTATGTGGTCAATTTTGGAATAAGTGTGATGTGGTGCTGAGAAGAATGTATATTCTGTTGATTTGGGGTGGAGAGTTCTGTAGATGTCTATTAGGTCCTCTTGGTGAAGAGCTGAGTTCAATTCCTGGATATCCTAAGAACAAGGAATATTTATCTCCTGAAGAAACATAGCGAATGTAACACAATCCACATAATTTTATAATATTTTGATAGAGTTGTGATGAATTATCAGTCACATCCATAATGTAAATGGGCTTAACTCATCCATTAATGTTACCCATCCTAATGATTGTGAGGTAATATCTCATTGTAGTGTTGATTTATATTTCCCTAATAATTGGTGATAATGAACATCTTTTCATGGACTTATTGGCCATGTATATCTTCTTGGAAAAAAATCTCTATTCAAGTCCCTTGCTAATTTTTAGATAGAGTTATTTGTTGTTGGGTTTTAGGAGTTTTTAAAATACATTCTCAATATTAATCTCTATCAGATATGTAATTTCCAAATTACTTGGCCTTAAAAAGAGAGAAAATTCTGACACATGCTAAGACAGGGATGAACCTTGAAGACATTATGCTAAGTGAAATAAACCAATCACAGAAGGACAAATACCGTGTGATTCCACTTATATGAGGCACCTGACTAGTCAAATTCATAGAAACAGAAAGTAGAATGGTGGCTGCCAGAGCCTGGAGGGAGGCAGAAAGGGGAGTTATTCCTTAATGGTACAGAGTTTCAATTTGGGGTGATAGAAATAATTCTGGAGACACATGGTGGTGATGGTTAGACAGCATTATGAATATGTTTAACATCATGGAACTGTACAGTTAAAAATGGTTACCATGGCAAATTATGTTGTGGGTATTTTAGCACAATTTTAAAAATTGAAGAAAAAAGCAAATGAATAAAAATAAAAGTTTAAATGGTAAACTAAAAAATAAAGAATGGACAAAATATATCTTATTATTTAATATGAAAGCAGAGAGATAGTGGTCCTTATGGCAGAGAAAGAAATATCCAATCCTCAAAACATTAACATGACAAAGAAAGTATCTTTTCGATGCTAAAAGTTGGAATTCACAACGAAGATATAATATTCATAAAAATCTATGCACCAAATAACACAGGAATCACACTCATAAAGCAAAAACTACAGAAAATGCAAGGAGACACAGAAAAATATTTATAATAGAGAATTTTTACACTATTCTTAACAAAAGACAGGTTGAATAGGTGTAAAATGTAAGAGGAGACTTAAACAACATAATCAAAAGGTTGTTGTTATTAACACACACCAGATTCCAGTTAAATCTTGACACTGGAGAATACACCTGTTTCTCAAGTGCTTATGGAACATTCACAAAAATTGAATATATTTATGAAACCATGAGCAAATTTTGTAAAGTAAAACTATTACAAACAGTACTTTCTGATCACAGGGCAATAAAACTAGAAATTATTATGAAAAACAAAGACAAAATGCCCTGTTACCTGGGAATTGGAAAACTTTTGGTTAAAAGGGAAATACAAGCTAAAATGATAAATTTCTGGAAAATAATAATGAAAACACTATACATGAGAATCTGTGAAATACATTTAAAGAAACACAGCACTAAACACTTATTGGTAAAAGGAAAAAAATAAAAGAATTACTGAGGTCTAAAACTAGAAAAAGAGCAAGAAAGTGAACTATAAGAGAAAATAAAGAAGGTAATATTAGTGACAAAGGCAGAAATTAATGAGGTAAAGAAGAAAATACATCCTGGCTAACACGGTGAAACCCCGTCTCTACTAAAAATACAAAAAATTAGCTGGGCATGTTGGCGGATGCCTGTAGTCCCAGCTGCTCTGGAGGCTGAGGCGGGAGAATGGCGTGAACCCGGGAGGCGGAGCTTGCAGTGAGCCGAGATAGCGCCACTGCACTCCTGCCTGGGCGACACAGCGAGACTGTCTTAAAAAAAAAAAAAAAAAAAAAAAAGAAGAGAATACAATGGAGCTAATTAGTATATCAAAACACTGGATTTTGTCTTAAAATTTATATGGAATGAAAAAAGAGCTTGCATAGCCAAAGCAAGACTAAGCAAGAAGAACAAATCTGGAGGCATCACATTATCTGACTTTAAACTATACTATAAGGCTATAGTCACCCAAACAGAATGGTACTAGTATAAAAATAGGCACATAGACCAAAAGAACAGAATAGAGAACCCAGAAATAAAGCCAAGTCCTTACAGCCAACTGATCTTCAACAAAGCAAACAAAAAACATAAAGTGGAGAAAGGACACCCTATTCAACAAATGGTGCTGGTATAATTGACAAGCCACATGTAGAAGAATGAAACTGGATCCTTGTCTCTCAGCTTATACAAAAATCAACTCAAGATGGATAAAGGACTTAAATTTAAGACCTGAAACCATACCAATTCTAGAAGATAACATTGGAAAAAAACCTTCTAGACATTTGCTTAGGCAAAGACTTCATGAGCAAGAACCCAAATGCAAATACAACAAAAACAAAGATAGATGGGACTTAATGAAATGAAAAAGCTTCTGCACAGCAAGAGAAATAATCAGCAGAGTGAACAGACAATCCACAGAGTGGGAGAAAATCTTCACAATCTATACATTTGATAAAGGACTAATATCCAGAATCTACAATGAAAAAATCAGCAAGAAAAAACAAACAATCCCATCAAAAAGTGGGCTGAGGACATGAATAGACAATTCTCAAAAGAATATATACAAATGGCCAACGAACAGTTGAAAAAATGCTGAACATCACTAATGATCAGGGAAATACAAATCAAAACCACAATGCTATACCACCTCACTCCTGCAAGAGTGGCCATAATCAAAAAATCAAAAAATAATAGATGGTGATGTGGATGTGGTAAAAAGGGAATGCTTCTCCACTGCTGGTGGGAATGTAAAGTGGTACAACCACTATGGAAAACAGTGTGGAGATTCCTTAAAGAACTAAAAGTAGAACTACCATGTGATCCAGCAATCCTACTACTGCATATCTACCCAGAGGAAAAGAAGTTATTATATGAAAAAGACACTTGCACATACATGCTTATCACAGCACAATTTGCAATTGCAAAAATATGGAATCAGCCCAAATGCCCATAAATCAATGAGTGGATAAAGAAATTGTGGTATATATATGCTATGGAATACTACTCAGGTATAAAAAGAAATGAAATAATGGCATTCATAGCAACCTGGATGGAACTGGAGACCATTATTCTAAGTGCAGTAACTCAGTAATGGAAAACCAAACATCGTATGTTCTCACTCATAAGTGGGAGCTAAGCTATGAGGATGGAAAGGCATAAGAATGACACAATGGACTTTGGGAACTTGGGGGAAAGTGTGGGAGGGGAGTTAGGGATAAAAGACTACAAATTGGGTACAGTGTGTACTGTTCGGATGATGGGTGCGCCAAAATCTAAGAAATCACCCCTAAAGAACTTATTCATGTAACCAAACACCACCTGTTTCCCAAAAACCTATGGAAATTAAAAAAATCCCTGGATTTCAGAAAAAACGATAAACCAGACAGATCACTGGCTTACTTGATCAAGAAGAAAATGATTAAGCATAAATTTACAAAACAAGAAATCATAAAGGGGAAATAACAATGGAAACAAGTAAGTTTTTTTAAAATCAGGAGATGATTTAAAGATCTCTATTCAAATACATTTGAAAACCAAGAAGAAGTGGATAACTTCCTAGGGAAATATAGATGGCTAAATTGACCCCATTGATTAAGAAACCTGAAGAATCACTTTTCCTAGAAGAAATAAAGTTATTAAGGAACTACCCCAGAAAAAGCACCAGGAAGAGATGGTTTCACAGGGATTTCTCATAAATTTTAAAAGACAAAATGCTTCTGATGCTCTAAAGAACCAAAAAGGAAAGAAAAATTTCTAATTTTTATTATAAATTTTTTATTGTAACATCAGTATTTCAACCTGATAAAGATAGGTTTAAAAAAAACCCCAACCATAGACTAGAGTCATTTGTGTATTTGGATGCAAAAATATGAAATAAAATATTGGCAAGTTGAATCTAATACCATTCTAAGAATATAATCAACATGACCAAATGGAATTTATTTTAGAAATGCAAGGTTGGTTCAGTATTAGGAAACTCATTAATATCATTCACTATATTTAATAGATCTAAAGAAAAAAACTATGGGCTCCAAAAATGATAAAAAAGACTTTGACAAAACATAAAATGGTTGATGGATGCTTTCCTTACATGTTCAAATGTGTGTGCCTCTGTTCCAAAGCCAGAATCCTACTTACTGGATAAACATTATAGGCATTTCTATGAAGGCCATGAACAAGGCAAGAATGCCCACTCACTCCACTACTATTAAACATTATCCTGGATATATCAGTCAATGCAATTAGGCAAGGGACATCAATGAGATGCATAAAAATTGGTAAAGAAGAAGAAAACCATTTCTATTTAACAGATGATAATACAGCAGATCTGGAAAACCCTAGATAATCAATGATAAAGCTAACTCAAACAAGAAAATAATTCAGTAAGATAGCAGGATAAAATTAACCTATAGAAATCAAGGCATTCATACAAAAGACCAGTTAAAGTACACAATGATAGATAAAATCTTGCTTCTAATAGCAAGAAAGTAGACTGAATACTTAGGAATAAGCTTATCATGACAGTATAACACCTATACAAGGAAGACTTAAAAATATTCCTGAAAGATAGGAAATGACATTGAACAAACAGAAAGACATTACTTATTCTTAGATAGATCCACTCAACATTGTAAAACTGCCAGTTATTTTCTAAATTACTTTACAAATGTAAAGCAATCCCAATAAAAACATAAACTCAAGGAAAGGAAATTAGACATGTTACCAAAAATATAATCAGGGAAACATGGAAAAAGAAAAGCTAAAAAAACTAAAAGAGGGAAGTGTGTCCCAGAGGTTAAAATACACTCTGAATAACACACTGTGGTGCTGGCCCCTTAGTAGAGGACTGTGCTGCATGGCCCAGACAGGACAGTCACATACAGAAAAACTTTGTGTGTAATACGTGTGGCTTTGCAAATCATGGGACAAAGATGGACTTTTAAAAAAATGGTTCAGGGATAACTGGGTAGCCATTCATAAAAATATAAAATTAGGAACACCTCACACCATGCTCAGAGATAAACTCCAAATGGATCCAAGAGCTAATGTAGCAGATGAAGTCCTATAAATACTGGAGGAAAACAAATTCTTCTTTAGCCTCAGTGTGGAGAAAGACTTTCTAACTCAGAAAGTCAAAAGCTAAAGGCAGTCAGAGATTGATAATTTTGGCTACACAAAAATTGACTTTTTTTGCATGAAAAATTATAAACGTAGTCAAAAGTCAACTAACAAACCCCAACAATTATCCATCTATCATCTATCTGTCTATCTATCATCTCTCTCTCTCTAAAAGTTTGTTCTTAAAATATAAACAGCTTTGAGAAATGAGGCTAAAAGACCAAAAACCTAAAGGAAAATGGGAAATTGTAATGAATGCAACATTTACAAAAGTGGTATAAAAATGGCCCTTAAACATATGAGATGTTTAAACTCACTCATAATGAGACAATTGCAAACAAAAGCAGTACTGAAATACCACTTCTCACCATGATGTTGGTGGAAACCTAATGGCATAACAAGGCATACTGGCGAGGCTGGAGGGAGACAGTCACCTCACACACTCATGCCTCCGTCTCTCCCACAGAGCTCTCAGTGTGGGCAGGGCACATTTACCTTTACTGGAAACACTCTTCTCACTGCCAGGAGACACCTGTGGCCCACGATAATTCTCAGAAGGATCGCCATGGAGATTTGCATTAGCATTGGCTTCTTTAATGACAAATATGGAAAAAATGGGGAAAATGTCCTTGATTACACACTTATAAGCACTTTGGTCATTTATTTATTTAAACATGCTAAGTTGAGATGCTAATATCATTTTCAAGTTTTATTTGAAAATATGTTTTGGAAACTCAATATGTGAATACAGAGCCAGGCCTCATCTGACTATTAAAACTACATATTCACTCCTCCACACGTCCTTTGACCCAACATCCCAATGCTAAGAATTGACCCTGGAGATAATTCCTGACAATATGAAAATACCTGTGCTATAGGCTGCTCACTGCAGCTGTGTTTGAAATGGCAAAATATTGCAAACAATGGAAAGATACATACAAAAAATAATGACTGCAGAACTGGGGTAGGAAGAAAGGAGTGCGGGCAGGAAAGGAGGATTTGCACGGATCTGTGATTTGCACAGAAGTGTTTCCTAGCTCTTTCTGTGGAGAGGGCCTGGAAGAAATGCTGTGCCATTGAACTTAGCAAGCATCCAGTTCTTGGCTCACAATCAGTAACGGTGTTAGTGTTTTATAACCCACAGACTATAGTAATCCCTAGTAGCCCATGTAGACAGTAATAAGCAACCGAATACATAAACAGGGGAGGAGGGGCAGCTCTTTCTTAAAGCAGAATCCCAATTAATAAATGGAGAAGCAATGGCAGAAAGAGAAACTCGCCAGTTGGCAAACACCACACTGACCACCAGGCAGACAAATTTGGAGGTATTCATATTAATTTTAAATAAAATCTTATTCCTGTTTAAGTCCTGAAAAAATCGAGTTCAATCTTTCCCAACTCCAGAGTCTGTCTTATTGGGGGGACTCTTTGGGGTAATGGATTGGGATGCAGATTCCTGGGCTCCTACAGAAATGCTTGGCTCCTGGCACACCATCAGATACTGGAGCTGTGACCTGGTCCTGTGTGTGGGGAACACCACAGATGTCCTACATGTGTGTCCCAGTGATATGGTTTGGCTCTGTGTCCCCAACCAAATCTCATGTCTAAATGTAATCCCCAGTGTTAGGGGAGGGACCTGGTGGGAGATGATTGGATCATGGGGGCAGAGTTGCTCCTTGCTGTTCTCATGATAGTGAGTTCTCATGAGGTCTGGTTATAAGTGTGTGGCACCTCCCCCTTCACTCTCTCTCTCCTGTCTCCATGTGAAGATGTACTTGCTTCCTCTAGGGTCTTCTGCCATGATTGTAAGTTTCCTGAGGGCTCCCAGCCATGCCTCATGCACAGCCTGCAGAACCATGAACAAATTAAACCTCTTTTCTTTATAAATTACTCAGCCTCAGGTAGTTCGTTGTAGCAGTGTGAGAATGGACTCATATACCTGGGTATATATATGTGCCCTTTCTGGTTTTGAATCTCCAGGGTAAAGAGGAGGTATTTTGCCCCTCCATGGGGTCCAAGTATCTTATCCTCTGAGCCTTTGCACACTGATTTTTTTCCCAGCAGACTCATCTGTTGGAGGGAGGCTTTTCCCTACTTCTGGGGGACCCCCCTGGGGGCACTCTGGCTCTCTCTGCACCTGCCCTGTGAAGGAGAAGTGACTTAGCTGAAGCTTTGGGAGAGGGGGCCAGGCATTGTGGCAGCACCTGCCTCCCTGTCTTGGCATCTGCCTGCCCATGAGACATTTCTGCTGTGCTTCCCTGGGCTGTGTTTTTTCCAGGGTCGGCCCCACAGCAGGGGGTGAGGAAGCTGGGGGTCCCTCAGCCCCGACAGAGACTGGGAGATCTGCCCAACCAGGGGAAGTGGGCACATTCTCCCACCAAGGGTTTATCCTCCAGGAAGGAGATGTTTCCGCCTGCGTCTGCCTGCCTCCTACCTCTCCCATTACAGCTGGACTTGGGAAGGGGTAATTACTGGGTTGCATTTACCATCATTGGAAATTTTGACCTCAATGCCAGGAGAGAATTGTAAATTCTCTAATAATTCATGGTAATTCTCAGAACCACCAGCTTGATAATTCTCATCAATACCAGCATCTTCAATGAAGAACATGGAAAAAAATGGGGAAAAGTTTTCTTGATTACACAGGTATAAACATTTTTGGCCCATGCTTTATTTTACAATATAAGGTTGGGATGTTAATACAGTTTGCAAGCTCTATGTGGAAATGTGCGTTGGTAAGTGAAGGTGTAAACAGAGTCAGGTGCCCTCTGACTCCCTTGAACCAACAGTGTGGACCTTGGCAGATGGCAGGTGAACCAATCCTAGGAACTGGAATTTACATTCTGGGTGCAAGATTTCAAGAGTGCTGAACTTTCCTGCTGCCGAATACACTTTCATGCACTGTGTGGGGATTTCTGATTCCCAGTTCTCTCCTTGGCAACTGTTGATTCAGTACTCTGTCTTGGTTCTAAATGTGCTGTTCTATTTCCTTGCATATGTCTTTGACCATGTGAAGCTGCACTTGGGGAAGGCCATTCTTTGTGTTGGTTCATGACTCACTGTGTGGCTTGGGCAAGTCATTTGCTAGACCTTGGTTTTACCTTCTGTCAAATGGGGTGATGATAACTGCCCTGCTCTCTCAGAAGCCTTGGGTGAGCGTGAAGTGAGAGCATGGGCGTGTGTGGGAGGAACTGTAAAGTGTTGGTTAGTGCAGGGTTCTCAGGTTCTTGTGCCCTGTGTTCCTGCAGTGGCTCCCGAGGGCGAGAACGTGCCTGAACACGCACTCCAGAGATCCCAGAGTAAAGGGAATTAACCCTGCCAGTCTAGGGTTGACTTCCTCTGTCTCGGGAAGCTGTAGAAATGGTTTTAGATGCCATATTGTTCACATCTCCATGTGCCCTTGCCCCAGAAATAGCTGGTCTTAATGCTCAAATTATAGGGTCACGTATTCCATACCACAGACCTCCAGGAATAAGGGCAATTAGAGGGTTAGAAAGGGGTGTGCTTGCTTTTCTCCTTACGTAACGGTGTTGATAATGTTGATGCTGTACTTGGCATTTCGCTCGGTGTTGTTTTATTCAGATCTAAAATCTCCTGGACCAGAATTTCATCTTGGGAGAAGCACACAAGATCACGTTAGAGTCGGCCCTGCAGGGCTGGCCCTTGGCTCCTGTCCCCTAAGGCCATCTGTACACACAGTGAATGTACACACAGTTCCTGTACAAACAGGAACTCCGGGAACCCAGGGGATGTGGGACTTGACTTTCGAAAGAACCTTCTCTGGGTGGGCAGGCCGCTGCCTCCCTCAATAATTTCAGAAAAACTGAGACCATTTGGACATTTTGGACACTGAACATTGCCCCCCAAAGGTACAAGGCTGGACGCTTGGCCCACACGTGGTCCTAAGTCTCTTTCCTGCCCTGGGTCCCTCTGTCCCATCTCTGAGGCTCTCCCAAAGCTGCCCTCCGTGTGTGAGTGAGCGTCGCTCCTGATCTCTGTGTCAACACAGCCGCATTTTCTTCTTTTACGTCCCTATGGGTTCTCCTAGGGAGATTTTACCATGAGAGCCTTGAGCTTTGTGTCTGACAGACCCGGAAAAAACACACGGGCTCTGCTCCCACCAGAATGTGATCTTGGACAAGCGTCCTCACGGCTCTGAGCTTTGGTTTCCTGTCTGTAAAATGGGGGTGTGTATTTGCCTGTGGGCTTTCCTGAGGGTCCAATAAAGCAGTGTATGCAGAAGGTGCTCAGCACGGAGCCTGGGCCATGGCCAGGTGTTGTGGCAACCGAGAGTCACCGCTGTCTCTGCAGCACAGTCACCAGGCCAGGCTGCAGTGCTGGGCTGGGCAGTGGGTCCTGGTTTGCTGGGGCCCTCTGGGTTTAGCCCAGAAAGTCCCTCAAGAAGAAGCTCCTCAGCCCCAGGCAAAGCGGGCGTCTGGTCACCCCAGGACCAGCTCATGCAGAATTCGAGGGTAAAGGGGAAGAGGCTGAAAATGCCACTGGAAACGAAGATGTCACCAATACGACCGATAAAAAAGCTTTGTCCTGGGCTCTTGGTTTCTCACCCAGCAGCCGCGCTGTCCCTCTTTCTCACTCACAGAGCTGGGTTTTGGCAATGTGTGCCCCCAGTGAGGCCCCCTGCAGCCGGGTGGGCTACAGGCCTGTAAGGTAGGAGGAGTCTACCAGCTCTGCGAGGAATTTGCTCCTCCTGATAAAAGGGGAACCAGTGTCCAGGCCTGCACCCCCGCCTCCTGCCCTGGGAGTGGACGAGGTGTCTGGCACTGTGGACACCATCCTTGATCATGAGGCACGAGCTTGAGGAGAGGCCAGGACAACCTCAGGGACATGGCCTTGTATTGCGGAGCTGCCGGACCAGAGCTGCGTGCCACCTGCCTCTTAGCCGCGGGTGCCCCAGGATCCCAGCCAAGGGGCTGGGCGCTGCCACTCAGGCTCTGTCCTCTGGGGCCAGTGATTGGACAGAAGCACCAATCTTAGGAATTCCAAGTTCCTAAACAGTCATGGTGTCCAGTGAGATAGGGGTCTTGGAGAAGAGTGGATATGCATTTGAATGGCAAGCATTTACTGGGCACTCTTCTGAACCAGACACTGCACAGGCACTGGGGGGCCAAGGATGGCCCAGCCTCAGTCCCTGGTCTCTACCCCATTCCAGCCAGCCATGTCCAGGAGGCAGCATTCTACAGCCGTGACCAGGCACAGCAGGTCAGCAGTAACAGAGCTTCCACCAAGGGCAGATGGGCTCCCAGGGCAAATGGGGGCAGGCAGAGGATAGGATTCAGCTGACCAGCCCTAAGAAGTGAGCCCTCCTGGGGCACTGTCTGAACTTCCTGGCCAACTCTGGCTTCGGTTGCCCCATTGTTACTGGGGATCACCCCCGTCCATGGTGGATGGGCTGTCTCTGCAACTCTCCATCTCTAACAACTGTACCCACAGTCCCTGACCTGTCCCAGTGTGACCCAGTCCACTCCATGCCCGAAGCCGGGAGTGGCCTCCTGGGGACCCAAACTCCTCAAGTTGCAGACACCCTGGGATTCCCTGAGGCGGGTGGATGGTGGCCCAGCTGTGAGGAGGCGCGTTCCTGCTCGGAGAGCAGTCATGGCTTTGGGGGCCAAAGAGAGGCGGGGGGCCGAGCCACCCCAGGGTGAGCTGCCCAGGGCGAAAGGCTGCCTTGACCCTTCCACGGGCCTCCCTACCCTCGGGGAGATTGGTCAGGGCTAGAAAAACGCTTTAGGTAGAGATGAAGCCAGCAGGTGGAACAAGGTTAGGAAGCTCTTTGTTTTAAAACCAAGTCTAACTGCTGATGGTTGAATTTTTTGAGAGAGGAGAAGCTGAAATACAATGACCAGACCATCCATCAAAACAGCTGTGGCCAGGCTGGGCGCAGTGGCTCACTCCTGTAATCCCAGCGCACTGGGAGGCCGAGGTGGGCAGATCACCTGAGGTTAGGACTTTGAGACCAGCCTGGCCAATATGGTGAAACCCTGTCCTACTAAAAATGCAAAAATTAGCTGGGTGAGGTGGTGCACATCTGAAATCCCAGCTACTCGGGAGGCTGAGGCAGGAGAATCGCTTGAACCCAGAAGGTGGAGGTTGCAGTGAGTTGAGATCTCGCCACTGCACTTCACCCTGGGTGGCAAGAGTGTGAGACTCCATCTCAAAAAAAACAAAAAACAGAAACAGAGCCAACCACACCTGCAGCAGCCAGTCCGGGGGGCTGGCCTGCTCCGCAGTAAGACCTGCAGGAAGTCAGACCTCCTCTAGCAACGACTCAGGCAGCCGAAGCGCAACCCCTGGACCAGCCGGCCCCAGAGGGCCAGGAATGCATCCATCATCGACAGCTCCTCTGGCTTTTGTCCTCGCTTCCAATTCGGAGCCGACCAGAGAAAGCCACACATGCTCCCTCACCAACCCCTCACCGCCCGTCTGATGAGCCATCCCCAGCACACCCAGCTGCAGCCTGCACGGGACCTGGGCTTCCTTTGCCTTAGTGAGGCCCCATCCCCTGCCTGACTCAGAGGCTCTGAAATTGCACGTGATGGTGACTCGGAGGCTTTGACATTGCACGTGATGGTGGTGACTGCCCTCCCACAGCAAGCTCTGGACAGAGAGTCTCGGCCTGGCCTGCCTGGGTGGGCTTCGCTGACCTCCACAGGGATTTGAATTCTCACTGTCAATGCTTTCAGCTTTCTACCTAGAAGAAATCTGGGGGTGTGGATGGGGGTAAGAGCTGCTGCTTCCTTCTAGGTTTAGTTGGTCAGGACCCAGGAAAAATATCAGAAACGCCAGCCACTCTTTCCTCTTCCAGAATCCTTTTCTGAGGCCACTGTTTCTCTGGGGGTGGCTGAGACACTGGCTGGAGCAGGTGCTGGTCTCAGGACTAAAACTCTCAGAATCTGGCACCCGCCAGCTTCACTAGGAAAGTGAGTCCAGTCACAGCCATTCCTTGACCTTGGGGAGTCTAACTCCTGCCTGGGGCAGTTCCCTTGAGTACCCAGAAAGTGGACGGGGCGGCAGGAGCGAGAATGGGAACATCCATTCATTCACTGGAGCGCTCACTCATCCATCCACCTAACCCATCAAACACGCAGGCAGGCAGAGCTTTTCCCAGGCCTCTCCCACCCAGATGTGGAAAGGGAGCAAAGCCTGACTTCTGACAGCGACAGCTCCTGGAAAGGGCCCAGCACCTGGGGGCCCTGCGTTCCCACGGGAGCCCCTGTTCGAGGCCGTGCAGCCTTCACAGCCGCAGTCCCGGGCCCTGCCGGGTGGAAGGTGGCCCCATCCTCTACCCCGACCCCACTCCACAGGCAATGCTGGCAGAGAGGTCCTGGGAGGTGACTGTTTCCCAAGGGCATCGATGTGAGCAGGGGTCAGGACTGCATGCTCTGAGTCCCAGCATTCTGGGCCTCAGTTTCCCCACATGTAAAACGAGAGGTCAGAGCAGAAGTGCAGGCACTGGCTAAGCGCTCACACCCTGGAGCGCGGCTGTCCACGTGGAAATGGCCGTGAAGGCAAAGGACACATGGAACTGTGGAGAGCCAGTGTGATGGAAAGACTGAAACATCTCACTAGTAATTTGACACTGATCCCATGTTGAAATCATCACGTGAAATAAAATATTATTACAATGAGTTTCATCTGTGTCTTTTTTTTTTTTTTTGAGACAGAGTCTCGCTCTGTTGCCAGGCAGGAGGGCAATGCTGCGATCTCAGCTTACTGCAACCTCTGCCTCCAGGGTTCAAGGGATTCTCCTGTCTCAGCCTCTCAAGTGGTTGGGACTACAGGCACACATCACCACGCCCAGCTAATTTTTGTATTTTTAGTAGAGGCGGGGTTTCACCATGTTGGCCAGGATGGTCTCTGTCTCTTGACCTCGTGATCTGCCCGCTTTGGCCTCATCTGTGTCTTTTTAATGTGGCCACTAGACAATGAAAAGCACATCTTCGGCTCATGCTGTGTTTCTATTGGACGGCCCTGGCCCAGGGCAGCGGTTCTCAGCCGGCTGTACTTTAGCATCACCTGCAGAGCCCTAGAGAAGCACAGAGGCACCAGGCTCAGCCAAACCAGCACGGCCTGCATCCCCGGGGTGAGGCCAGGGGGTCTGTAGTTTCCACCATCTTTCCAGGGGGCTGGCAGGGCTGAGGCGGTGGAGGAGGGGACGGCTCAGCCATGGGGCCTCTCAGGTGCACAGGAATCGGTGGCATCAGGTTGAATGCGGTGCTGGTGCTGGAGGGCTGGGCCCGGCTTGCCGCTGGGCGTTTCTAACAAGCTCCCCAAACCAGATGATGCAGACGCTGAGGGTCCTTGGACCTCACTTTGAGAAGCAAGGCTCCCACGCACTTTTTAGGTGTAATGGTCTAAAATTCTGTCTTCCTTAATTTCTTGAGAGTTTGACTCTTAGATGTCAGCAGTAAAGCTATGGGCCATTGGTATATGATTCTAGCCCCAAACCAATCAGTTCCCTCCACTGTCTGCAGTTGGTACCAGGTTATCTGGGAAACAGCCACAGACAACCATCCAGCCCTCTTCACGTACAGGCCAGAGGTTGATAGGAGGGGCTTCCTTACCTAATAATTCAGACATATCCTCCTGTTTTGAACTGAATGGTATTTCAGTAGGTGAACCTAGAAGGAAATAAAAACCCTACAGTTTAACAATGTTCATTGAATTTGCATATTTTTCTCTTTAAATGGATATGGTTTTGTGGGTGCCCACCAGCCCCCTCTAGAGGAAGGAGCCCTGCCCAAGTTCCAGTCTCTCCTGCGGGTGATGAGAGATGGCCCCAGGAAAGTTCTCTGGGACTTGGCTTTCTTGTCTGGAAAATGCGGAGAAACAGCCACCTCCGGGGTGGCTGTGAGGATGGAGGACAATTGTCCAGGAGCTCTGAGCTGAGCCTGCCCTCCTGGTCCCTAGAATCACCCCTTGAGAGGTCAAGACGACATCCCGGTCGCAAGGATGACTGGGCTCACCCAGCTGCTTTGAGGTAAGCAGAGTAAGAGGGCATGTTCCTCTTGTGAAAGCAGCATTTGGACCTCCTTCGTGAAAGGCGCCCACAGTGCATGCACCTGGAGGCTTAGAAACATGTTCTGGGGAAATGGGAAACATTGTGCAATGCTGTGGCTGCATCATGAAGACCTGGCTTCATGGCTCTGTTTTAGGAGGGGCAGGACTCAGAGAGATGGGCCACCCCCCTTTCTCCTCCTTCATAAGCAAAGTGATTTCAGGGTGGTCCCATCTGCAGATAAGAGGTGGGGTCATGTGGGTGAAATGCCGAGGTCTGGAATATGGGTTGTCCACAGGCCCCGTGGCCTCCTGACCTGTGGCCTCGGCTGCCTGACTGATGGGAGCTGACTGTGCTGAGTGACCCTGAGAGTGGGTGGCGGTTCTGAGCACTGCTTTCTCCTTGTTAGCCCCTTCCCAGTAGTTCCCTGCTTCTGCCATTCACAGTTTTTCTTTATTGGAGGTGTGGCGTCTCAGCGTCCTGGGGCATTGCTTTGGCTCAAGGTCAAGGTCAGCTTCTTCCTCCAGCCCCGAGGTTGGGCTCAGCAGGGCCACACACCTTCCCTTTCAGAGTGCACAGAGCTTTCCAGTGGTGGCTTCTAGGATCTGAAGTTCCAACACTAAACCAGTGACAAAGCTGATTTCCAAATGGCTTTAATGACAGACAATCTGCATACCAATCGACTCGTCTGCGCACATGCAGGCTCAGAACAATGCGGGAAAATATGCAAAAAGGTCTGAGATGTGATGGCAATTGCTTCCCAGTATGCTGACCTTCGGTAAACGAAACAAACAAAGTACAGTTCTCTTTGGATGAGACATTAATGATCATTAAGAATGGGTACAGCTGCATCGTGCAAGTGCTTTGTTAAAAATATTCTTTTCATTTTGTGTCTGTCCCGTAATTATAATGGAAGTATTGTGCAAGTCAGCCAGTAAGCATGTGGAGTAAAATATTTGGGTTTTATAACATCCGTGCGGTTTTTAAAGTGCATTGTCAAGTGGAGTGGCTTTGCCATATCCTTCATGTGTCACCTCTGACTTCAGCCTCACGGTTTTAAGGTGCCGCACGCCATGTAATTGTAAGAATCCACTGCTCTTTCTCGATATTTACATCGTGCACACGCTGGCCTCCGTGAAAGGGTTCCCTGTGGAGTTCTGAGACTTCATTCTGGTTAATTTGGGGAAAACAGCACTGCACCCTTCTCAATCACTAGGACCACGTTAACTGCTCTCCTCTCTCCCTAAAGGTCCAACATCTCAAGAAAGCCACAAAACATGGTCAACTCAATTTCTGAGGCAAATGCCTGAAGTGCCCACTGAGTCATTAAGGACCAAGGAGAGTAAGGAAACCCAATGTTCCTCGTGAGAAAGTGATTTAGAAATGATCCCTTAATTGGTCTTCAAGCTGGGGAAGACCTTGGTCACCTGTTTCAACTGTTTGGATGAGGAAATCAGATCTTGGGAGGTAAGGACTAAACTCTGACCTTTTTTCTCTCTTACCCATTCCTTACACAACTGTGACCTGAATGCTTTCCTAAGGAGTAAGAAGAAGCCAGCTCTGGAAAACAAGAAACGAAAGACCTATTCCTTTGTCTCCTTGAGCCAATCATCCAAGTCTGTGACCAGACTCTCCTCCCTTTTGTGGTTTAAACAGTGCAGCACCCCCAGCATTCCTTCCTGGTGAGAGACCACTGGCCATGGAGGCTCTGGCCAGTCCATGTAGGACACGCAGTGAGGGTTTCCTGTCTTCTGCTTCACCTTTGGATGTCAGAGGCTGATATGGTTTGGATTTATGTCCCCACTCAAATCTGAGGTTGAATTGTAATTCCTAGTGTTGGAGGAGGAGCCTGGTGGGAGGTGACTGAATCACGGGGGCTGGCGTCCCCCTTGCTGTTCTCGTGATAGTGAGTTTTCCTGAGATTTCGTTGTTTACAAGTGCGTAGCACCTGCCCACGCTCTCTGTTCCTCCTGCTGGCCATGTAAGATGTACTTGCTTCTCCTTTGCCTTCTGCCATGATTGTAAGTTTCCTGAGGCCTCCCCAGAAGCAGAAGCCTATACAGTTCACAGAATAGTGAACCAATTAAACCTCTTTTCTTCATAAATTACCCAGTCTCAGGTATGTCTCTATAGCAGTGCAAGAACTGACTAATACAGAGGGCCAAAAATGCTGCTCTCGGATTGTGCTAACACTGCCATTTTTTGAACACATGCCCATGAAAAGGAATGGAGCTCAATTGCACGTGGGCAAGGTTCTTCCGTTTACTGAAACCCCTTCTAAAACCCTCCTGACCTGCCCCACTGTGGCACTGGCTCTGCTCCTCTCCTTTTTGCCGTGACTTTGCAAACCATACAGAGTGGCCATGGCCCAGATCTCCCCACACTGGCTCCCAGAGTTCTCTCCTAGATGTAGTCTCTGCACTCGAGTTCTCTTCTCACCATCTAATCTCCGTTAGCCCTCTTGCACCACTGGATGTGTCCCCCTGGGCCTCCACTCCTCCCCCCACCCCCATTACACCCTTCTCTTCCCACTCAGCCCCTTGACTCCCAACAGTCCCTGGAGCTTTATGGACCCAGACAATCCCAGATCAACTACCTGATCTGAGGCTGAAAAGGAAAAAGACCAACTGGAAACAGGTGGGGCATTTTATCTACTCAGTGAAGGCTTTGATATATCCAGATGGCTGCTTCAATCACAGCCTCTGTGAGATTAAATAATATCAGGGGAAAAGAAAGGCTTGAAACTCCCCTTCACAAATGCTGGTTAAGAAAGAAAAATCTTTAGCCCTTATTGAGTGGGTAACCTCAACATATCCCGTTTTTATCAGAAACATAATTCAGATAAAAATATAGAGTGGAGATAAACCAGTGAGTTTTGTGTTACTGTGTTGCCGGACTCATGGCTGAAATTTAAGAATGAAGCCATACAATCACTGTTTTCATGTGTCTGTCTGTATGTGTATGTACCTATGTTACATATATGTGATATTTTTCTACCTCTGGATGGTATTGCTGAAGTAATTATAAAATTCCTTAAAGGAGTTCTATTCAAATTGGCTTAGAGAAAAAAGATGTGCTTGATTAAATATTCCCAGGACTCCCAGAAACAGAGGAGCTAACCCAAATGTTTTTTAAGTTTACATTACTAGGATGGTTGATATATAAAGCTAGTTTGAGACTGTTTGTTAAATAAAGACAGTTTGTCTTTGGAATTGTCAGCTATAGATATAATGCAGACATAATTTTATTCTACTTGGGTTACTAGCCAAATAAACTTAAAAATAGTTAACAGGGAAATAACTGGAGATGATGGTAGCTTTATTTGGTGTTATAGTGAAGCCACCTTTGTAAAATTATGACTGAGACAGTGAAAGAGATTTAACAGGCTCCATTATGCTTTTAACCTCCAAGCTGTCCTTGCTTATTCCTGAGCATAGGCCGAACTAACTATGGGAGAAGGTTCATAGTTTATAGTATAAACAAAGACGGTAACAGCCCTTTCCCAAAGCAAACTTCTTCTTGCTTGGGGACTAGACTGCCTTTGTAAGACTAACATTAGCCATAAGATTAGAAATTATGGTTTAGGAGTCATGCAGCTGGAGGCTACCAGATTCTGACCCTCCCTAAACTGCTCCTAAGATCAGTGCTTGAGATATTTTGCAGAACCTGCACTTGATGGATCAGCTGGCACCACCCAGATGGATAAAGTGGCTCATCTGATCTTGTGGCCCCCACCCAGGAACTGACTTAGTGCAAAAAGACAGCTTTGACTCCCTATGATTTGATCTCTGACCAATCAGCACTCCTGGCTCACTGGCTTCCCCCCACCCACCAAGTTATCTTTAAAAACTCTGTTTCCCGAATGCTTGGGGAGACTGATTTGAGTAATAAAAAAACTCTGGTCTCCTGCACAGCTGGCTCTGGGTGAATTACTCTTTCTCTATTGCATTTCCCCTGTTGTGACGAATTGGCTCTGCCTAGGCAGGGGGCAAAGTGAACCCCTTGGGTGGTTACAAATTTGGGGGCTTGTACAATACTGCCTTTTTGGATATCCACCCATGGTTCAGTGGCCCCCCTTCAACAATGGATCCAGAAGCCAGCCAGCCCAAGCAGCTTCCTAGTTCTCTTGGACTAGGGGCTGACTCTGGTACTCTCTCTACTGGCGGGGCACTGCCAACCCAATTTGCATGGATTTAATTGCAATGGAGAAGTAGGTCTGGGGAAACGTCCCTTAACTGTAGCCCTATCAGAGTGTCTGTCTGTAGCCCCATGGTAGGGTATCTGTCTGTAGCCCCACTGTAGTGTGTCTGTTTGGCTCCTCGGGGGTCTCGGCTGGCTCTTTCTAACTAGTAGGAAGATTCCTGGTTTGGGAGACTTCTCACTCAGGAAGATTTTGAGGAGGTTTCCCAGATGGAGAATAGGAGGATAGTTTGAAAGGGATACTCTTGGAGTTCTTAGTTGGGGATCTGATTTGGAAGGCCTTCTGTCCATCTCATCTTAATGTGTGTTTGTGTATGTGGAAGGGATCTCCGAAGGGGTTGCTGATGGAAGTCCAGCAGGCCTAACTCAGAACCCTCCTTATTTGTCTGGTCACATTTGATGAGCCCTAGAGAAGGCTCAATAGGCCTGTCTTCGCCTTGCCCAGAGATCTCATTGTGAATTACCATTCAGAGGTTGTCCATCACCACCTGGAGTGGATCAAAGAAAACAGGGACCAATGGGAAAATGTTTGAGCTTTGCCAGGTTGACATTGGGTGCTGAACGAGGTGACCAATGTTTGTTTTCTTATGTGTGTTTTGCTGGCATAGAAAATGTTAATTCCGTTCTCCTTGCAGCCCACTGGGCAGCATCTTGCAAATTAAGAATCTTGCCTATGGTTCCATAAAACAGGAAATGGTGATTTTCTCTTGTAAAGTGGCTTGAACCCCACAGCTATGGTGCAGTGAGCAGGGTCATCAGAAACCACTCCGTTCTTCTGAAATCTGCATAGAAAGGGAGCCCGCAAGCCTGGTATGCCGATAAAAAGGATAAGAAATTCTTACCAGCCAAATTTCTGGTCTCTCTCTTTCTCTGAGTAAATGGTAAACTATTTGTCTCTCTGCAAGGGTTTAATTAATGGAGAAAGGATTTGTGAAACTAGTCTTAGGTGGTAGCAAATCTGGTGTACTTTGTGCTAAGAATTTGTCTTTCTGTGTTCTGTAATGGAGAAAGAAGTATCACAGGATAGAATGTGGGTTTAGGACTCACTTTCAAGCCTGCTTTTCAAGCCAGACTGGCAGGCTGGTCAGTTACAAACTTTGCTGTGGGTCCCTGAAACCAATACTGGATGAAATTTTTCTGTCTTGTTTTGTGTCCTTAAGAGCTTAACCTTGTGATCATGTGCAGTTACTTTCCCTTGGTTTCACCATCTAGAAGACAGGAATTAGGGGATTCATGTCCTAGTTAGCCCTAAACATTTTCTTAAGCAGTTAAAAGCCTTTGCGAGCTTGAAACTGGTTCTCTAGACTCCTTCTGGAAAGAGCAATAGAAACTGCTCAATGCTGTAACTCAGTAGCTAAGACTTTGCTTTTTGACAATGGTGGCCTGGGTTCTAGTCTTGGTTTCTGTAATGATTCCTTTCTGATTTCTTATTTATGTAATTTTGCCATTTATTGAGGTTTTTTCCCTCATAGATAGCTTCTGATTTCCTCTCTTGAATTTTCCTTTCTCTGAACTTGTGGAGATTCTAAATCTTGTAAAGAAAGAAACTTCTTACCATGTTTTTGAAACACCTAGGAGGTTACCTTTGGTAAAGTTCAGAAGCTAAAAATATTAGCCACTTGGCCTGGCTAAAGTCAGGTAATAAGAGATTTGAAGGGATTTCTTTTTTAAAGAGCACCATGGTTAAAAGTCAGGTTAATTAAAAGTGGATAAACAAGGTATAGATGTATTTAAAAGGCCTTTATGTTTTTCTCTTCTTGGATCTTGTTTTTCTGGAAAAAGTTTATTTTTCTTCTCAGTCAACTGTACTATTTGTCTCCATTTTTTTTTGTCTCGTCACCCTTAAGGCACACATGAGAGGCCCTAAGATAACTTCTGGTAGCCGGGGACTCCTTGGGAAAAACAGAGGAGGCACCACAGACTCTGTTTTGCAAACAAACACCAAAAAACAAACAAAAAAAGACTCTGTTTTCCTCATGAAACCCCAGGAATTAAAAGTGGATAAATCCCTCTCAAAATAAAAGGCTATGTTCTGTTTTGCATTGTGTCATCTGACAGTTTTGAGTTTTGGGGGTATCAGAAACTACTTCGCAGTATAAAAAAGCTTTGGTGTGTAATAACTAGGTAGGAAATCTACTTTAAGGGGTGGCTAATAGTAGTTAAGGAGGAATACTTGACTCTTTGCCTACTTGGATCAGAGATGCATGCTCTTGGGCATCTGGAAGATAGGGAAACATCCCCACCCCCACTGACAGATGGGACTCCCATGGGGGATGGTCTAATTACAACATGGGCTGACTGGCTTTGGGTTGCCTCGCAATAAAATGCGCAGTAGAAGCATTGCACTGTCTTCTCCCGTAGTACTTTTCTCCTTTTGGGGATCCAGTGTTCAGTATAAAATGGCACCCTTAATTTTAGGGATCTGTCTTTGCCATCCAGCTCTGCCTGCTTATTAGGCCCTAGAAGTTTCATGCTTTCCCAGCTCCGTTCCTCCAAGGGCTCCACCCTGAAGCCAGTCATCCAATTAAAAAACTGGCCAATGAAAAATCTTACAAGTGCTGAATCTTTTGTCTGTCTATTTATATGTGTTGTATGCTTGTTTATATATAAAAGCACTCTGATTAATTGACTTAAAAAATAAGCACTTAAATCAAATGTTTTGTCAGAAAAGTAGAAACTTTAATGCATTTTTGTTCACGTGACCAGTAATCTTTTAGAAATAAAAGCAGTTTTAAAAATTATTAGTAAAATAAAATATTTTAAAAATGTAGACATTTGGTCTAAATTAAGGTCAAATATCAGATTTGCTAAATGTTTTAAGGTCAAACTATTTCCTTGACTTTTAAAAATTGTTCAATTTACCTACTTTGAAGCATTAGATTATAGATAAGGCCTGGAGACATGTGGAGAGGCATGCCGCTAGCTATGCTGAAAAGAGTCAGACCTTATCTTCATTTGTGTCTCATGTCCTAGGCTGCACCCCTAGTACATAATTAAAATAGCTTACTTACCAGGTTTTTCACTAAAAATAAAAGTTGCTAAGAATTAACATTATAACATAAAATTAAGATTACTGGAGAAACAGTTTTATATACAAGATGTGTAGGGAACGTGTTTTTGGTAGAAGATTATAAGAAGGCATAGGAATATGGCTTTTGTTAAAGGGAATGCAATTTTGTCTAGTTCAGAGAGTTTTAAAGATTGTCTTAACCTAAAAGAGTAATGGGACAAAACTAAAGGTTTAAGCAAAGTGAAAAGGGTTTGTAAAGGGTTAATCTTATACAAAATTCTGTGGGTTTAAACAAGTTGGCTGAGATTTAATTAGCTTTTTTCTGTAGGCTAAAATATTAAAATCATACTGATGTGGGGCCAGAATTTGGGCCCATGTGTCCGAATAATAGGGTTTTCTTAGAAAATTAATCTGCTCTTTGATGGAAAATTGTAAAGGTTTCTAAAAGTTTATAAAAATCTTACCTTATGGTCAAACTAATTAAAACCTGATAGAGATATAAAATTTTATTTGATAAACTAGCTTCAACATTAAAAATGCACCAATACATACATGAAATTTGGTTTTCTCTTTTGAAGACAAATTTTATGTAATGTTAAAATATAATGAAAGAGTTTTGTTTTCTCCTTTGGGTAAATGACAGGGAAAAAAGGGAGGAGAGAGAAGAGACAAGGTCAGTTAGCCTCATGCTGTCTTTATTGGGTCTTGTTTGGAAAGCTAAGTGTCCTCTATCAGAGTAAAGGTTTTTCTTTTAAGATTTTGAAGTTATCATTTTGGCTAAATAAATGACTTATTATAATGACATGGGATTCTATTTTGTGATATCCAGTGTTTTAAACCTTTGCTATTTGACAAACGTTCCAAAATCAAATTATAAATTTTGTCTATTTCTAACCTAATATTTAAATATTAGGTCCTTTAAAGTCCAGAAATGACATTTGGCTTATTTGGTATAAAAACCATACAGGAAACATTGTCAAATACAAAATGGTGTTTGGCTTTCTTTGGGCTATATTTGTGTAAATGTGTTATTAATATATGTTCCAAAATTATGTAAAACTCCTATAATTCTAATATAACTTAGTATATGTTATCAGTAATAATTTTAATTATTATGTTAAATGACTGTGTGATACAGAGGTAACAAATTTCCTTGTCAACTGTGTCTTTAATAGTGGCTATACTAATTCTTTTGTCATCCACAAACATTTTGTCTTGCTTTAGTCCTTTTCAAAAGGCAGTTTATAATCAAATATAAAACTCTAAGTATAGGTCTCAGATAACTTTAAAAATTATGTTATTGGAATAAAGAAAAAACCCAAACTTTAGAACTCTTATGGAAAACTAATGTATTAAACATTGCTAAACCTTTTGTTTTCCAAGTCAAGATAACTTATTTCTTTAAAGCTATTTGCAACTTTTAACAAGTGAGTAAAATATACTCCTGTGAACAAAATTTACAACATATTTGTTTCTCTCTACCTGATTTCTCCAAAATTTGAAAACTATTTCTAAGTATTCTCAATTTATGGCAGTATAGTTAATTGCATAAGTGCAATAAAAATCTGTTTTCTTTTGTAACAGGACAAAATTGGAGAAATTGGTCATTTTACCAAGGCTTTAACTGGACTGGCATGCTTCTTTAAAGAATCAAAGTTAACTTATAAAGCCAATTAAAGCCCGTTGGGAAATCTGGCCTCATGCCTTGTCCACACAGAGTCCCTGTACAAGGTTCCTGACCTGTGCTAAATAAAAAATGTCACTTTCTAACAGGCCCAGGAACTGCAAGATATCTTGGGACCTCAAGAAAAGAGGAATTTGCTCAACTCATAGGTATTTAAGCTTACAAATCCATGGCTGGGCTCGGCTTTTAAAAAGTCTTATCTAAAATTCTTCATGGAACAAAGTTCCATCAAAGCCCATTAAAATCTAAGTGAAAAATAATTATTCTAGTTGTACTTCATGCAAATAATCAAGCCAAGTACTATAAGAGTAAAGTTTATTTTGTAAACTGTAAATAATTTCTATCATGATTTGTTTTTCTTTAAAAAATAGGGACTGGAGAGAGAAAAATTATGCTTCCAAAAAACCTATAGTACATTGCTGTTAGTGCTTCTTAAGGTTTTTTTGGGCAGTTTAGACTAAATTATAAATTCTTTATGAGTTAGAATCCCCAAACTAATGCTTTTAAATCTTTTTCAGTCTTTCTTTCTTCCTTCTTTCCTTTCTTTCTTTCTTTTCTTTCTTTCTTTCTTTCTTTCTTTCTTTCTTTCTTTCTTTCTTTCTTTCTTTCTTTCTTTCTTTCTTTCTTTTCTTTTCTTTTCTTTTCTTTCTTCTTTCTTTCTTTCTTTTTCTTTCTTTCTCTTTCTGTCTCTTTCTTTCCTTCTGTCTTTCTCTCTCTCTCTCTTTCTTTCTTTCCTTCTGTCTTTCTCTCTCTCTCTTTTTAGACGGAGTTTCACTCTTGTTGCCCAGGCTGGAGTGCAATAGCTCGATCTCAGCTTACTGCAACTGCTGCCTCCCAGGTTCAACTGATTCTCCTGCCTCAGCCTCCCTAGTAGCTGGGATTACAGGCACCTGCCACCATGCCTGGCTAATTTTTTGTGTTTTTAGTAGAGACAGGGTATCACCATGTTGGCCAGGCTGGTCTCGAACTCCTGACCTCAGGTGATCCACCTGCCTCAGTCTCCAAAAGTGCTGGGATTACAGGTGTAAGCCACCGCACCTGGCCTCAAATCTTTGCTTTTAAAATTAAAAATTGTGCTCCTTATCCTAGGACTCATTATTTACCTATAGTATGCTGTTTACTTAAATACTGTACTAAAACTATAGATAAAGGTAATAATGTTTTTACCACACAAGCCTTGGAAGCCCAGCCAGGCCTGCATGTGTCGCCCAGATAGTTGCAAAACGGTTCCACTGTTCTCACCTTGGGGTTCATTCCCATTCCCACTACGTCCCCTGTCAGTGGGAAGAAGCCAGAGCATTGACAGCCTTTTCCCATCTTCACAGCCTGCACCTGAAGATTAAGGTGTTATTGGCCAGGCACGGTGGCTCATGCCTGTAGTCCCAGCACTTTGGGAGGCTGAGGCGGGCGGACCATGAGGTCAAGAAATCGAGAGGCGCCTCTGCACTCCAGTCTGGCAACAGAGTGAGACTCTGTCAAAAACAAAACAAAACAAAACAACAAAAAAGATTAAGGTGCTATAAAACCCAAAGGGAGAGATTGAAACCACGTTTGCAAGATTATGACTGAGACAGTGAAAGAGCTCCAGCTTAACTGACTCCCTCTTGCTTCTAACATCCAATCTGTCCTTGTTTACTCCTGGGCGTAGGCTGAACTAACCTTGGGAGAAACCTAGTTTATAGTTTAAACAAAGACGGTAACAGCTCTTTCCCAAAGCAGTCCTCCTTCTTGCCTGGGGTCTAGATTGCTTTTGTAGGGCTAACATTAGCCCCAAGATTAGAAATTATATGGTTTAGAGTTATGCAGCTGGAGGCCACAAGATTCTGACCTTCTCTAAACTGCTCCTAAGATCAGTGCTTGAGATATTTTGCAGATCCTGCCCTTGATGGATCAGCCGGCACCACCCAGATGGATAAAGTGGCTCATCTGATCTTGTGGCCCCCACCCGGGAACTGACTCAGTGCAAAAAGACAGCTTTGACTCCCTGTGATTTCATCCCTGATCAGTCAGCACTCTTGCCTCACTGGCTTCCCTCCACCCACAAAGTTATCCGTAAAAACTCTGTTTCCCGAATGCCTGGGGAGACTGATTTGAGTAATAATAAAACTCTGGTCTCCTGCACAGCTGGCTCTGCGTGAATTACTCTTTCTCTATCGCAGTTCCCCTGTCTTGAAGAATTGGCTCTGCCTGGGCAGGGGGCAAGTGAACCCCTTGGGCAGTTACAATAGCGTGTCTGCATTTTTTTTTTTTTTTTTGGGGGACAGGGTCTCATTCTGTCAGCCAGGCTGGAGTGCAGGGGTGTGATCATGACTCACTGCAGCCTCGACCTCTTGGGCTCAGGTGATCCTCCCATCTGAGCCTCCCAAGCAGCCAGAACTATAGACACATGCCACCACACCCTGCTAATTTCTGCATTTTTTTTGGTAGAGATGGGGTTTCACCATATTTCCCAGGCTGGTTTTAAATTCCTGGGCTCAAGTGATCCACCAGCTTTAACCTCCCAAAGTGCTGGGATTAGAGGTATGAGCCACTGCACCCAACCTGTGTTTGCCTTTTAAAAACAGTTTCTAAACATCTTTTTGGTGACTCATCACCCTGGCGTCATGATCAGTTAAGTAAAACAAGAGTTTCATTAATAATTTTTAAATAAGATAAGCTATTGAAACACTCAGTACTAAGCAAAGTTTTCTTATTTTATATGATACAGAGAGACTAAATGTATTTGAGTCTGTTAACAAAAGTTGTTTTTGCCACCTTGAAAAATTATGCTGTAGATAAATATATCTCTAAAAATTGTAAGATGGTATAGTCATACAATTTGCTACTTTGTTACAGAATGCTATATGTGACACAATTCACAACTGTCTACTCCTAGTTTTCTCTGTTGAACATTGTAATCAACATAATCAACATGTGTAATTAAAACTATTGGAAATAATGAGGGTGAAGAAAAACAACTTCCTGTGCAAAGTATAAAGGAAAGTAAGATCTGTTTTTGATAAGAAAGCTTATGTGATATGAAGAATGTGTTTTTGTTGACGAAAAAAGTGAGTAATTTTGTCCTACAGTGGTTTAAAATTTGTTTTTTCAGGAAGAGAAAAAACCGGACAAAATGCGTAAATTAGTATGGAAAGATGTAACGAGTCTCTGAGAAAAAAAGAGAGAGAAAAATCTTATGTGGTGAAGATACACTAGCAGTAAATGAATTTTATTATAAGATTTTATAGATGAGCTTTAGTATCAAGAGTGTAGCAATGCAGTACTGGAGTTTGATTTTCTCTGTCTGCTAAAAGGCCAAAGTTTTGTTGAATTATTGGTCTGGTTTTTTTTTTTTTTTTTTTTTTGAGACTGAGTTTTGCTCTTGTTGCCTAGGCTGGAGTGCAATGGCGTGATCTTGGCTCACTGCAACCTCCACTTCCTGGGTCCAAGTGATTCTCCTGCCTCAGCCTCCCAAGTAGCTGGGGTTACAGGCATGCACCACCATGTCTGGCTAATTTTGTAGAGATGGGGTTTCACCATGTTGGTCAGACTGATCTTGAAATACTGACATCAGATTATCCGCCCATGTTGGCCTCCCAAAGTGCTGGGATTACAGGCATGAGCCACCACGCCAGGCCTGGTCTGTTCTTAATAAGAGATTGTAAGAGGTACTTGTTTCTTACCTGTTGAGTAGTCTTACTAGGAAACAAAGATTCTGTGTCTTATCAAATATTTCCTGTGTTTCATGTTTTCTTTATCATGTTTTTGATTACTTAAGAAAACTGAGTCTCCTCAATATTAAAAGAGCTAAATTGTTTTAAAAACCATGCTACTTCCTATATTTTCTTTAAAAATTCTTTACTGTCATTTAACTTAAATGGATAGCTACCATTTCATAGTAACTTATGATCCTATTTAACCAAATATTCAAAACTTTTATAATTTTTGACAACTTCATCCAAGTAAAATTCTAAATGAAGAATTTTGACCTCAAACTAATTTTGAGATTTCCCAGAGGGCCACTAGAAAATCTCAAAGGATTTGTTCTCTCACTTGGTGAAAAGAAAGATGTTAAACTAATTAGCTTTATTTGATACATTAAATTCGTAAAAAGCATTGTCAAATAAGGGATGTTTAACCTTCTTTATATTTGTATGCATATATGTTATAAGTGTTTCAGAAATTGTATTAAATTCCTAGAAATTTTCACTGTCCTTACTGTCCATGATATGTCCTGGTATAAAGTTATGAGTCCTAATTTCCGTTATTGTCTTGTAATGTTGTATGTCACAGAAACAACCAAATTTCCTTGTCAATTGCAGCATAATGAACTCTCATCAGATTTTTAACCATGGCCATTTTATGCATTTTATGTCTTTTGTCATTCAAGACAATTATTGTTTTACTCTGATGCTTTTTTGAAAGCTTTTGCAATCAGCTACAGTCCAAAAATTCTTTGTCTTCAAGGAGATTTTTAGGTAAGACTCTGCCAAGTACTCTGGAGTAAGGTTTCTGACGCCTCTAAGATTGCACTATTAGACTGGACTTTTCCAGAACTCAGGGAGACATTGACGGATTTGTAAACCTGCTAACCCAAGATCAAGTAGAACAAGAATTAATGATGTGGGACTCAATGTGGGGACGATTATAATTTTTCTGAATTTTCTTGGAAATGTTTCTGGTTTTTTAATGTTTTGTTTTCCAGATTTAAAGAACTCTCTGCTTCCGGTTTCTCTTAGGCTACGCATAACGGACAACAATTTGGTAATTACACTTTCATAAACAAAAATGAAGCATTTATATTTTTTGTCCCACCTGATTACTCTAGAATTTGGATATTATGATTTTCAGGACCATACAATTGTTTGCGTAAGTTTAATAAAAATTGATTCTCCTTGCAACAGGACACGATTGGAAACATTGGTCATATTACCAAGGCTTTGACTGGAATGTCATATTTGAGATTGATACATAGAATCAGAGGTGACCAGACAGTTTTTAAAAACTGAGGTTGATTTGATGGAGCTGGAGAAACTGACCTGCTACCTGGCTCACCGGGTCCCCATCCCACAGGTGAGTGAAGAAGGTCATTTGCTGGCAGATCCAGGAACTTTGGGAACCTCGAGACCTTCGGAAGAGAGAAATTCACCCAAGTCTTTAGGTACCACATGTGAAGTCTGATGGTGAGTTTTTGGCTGGGCTTCCTAGCCTCAAAAAGCTTTTAAAAAATCTAATCTGAGATTCCTTGTAAAAAGCTCCAGCAGAGAAAACTCAGTTTATGTGGTCCATTACCATTCTTGCTGCACTTATGTAAATAATCAGACCAAATCTTGTAAGATGTGATATATTTTTGAGACAAGAATAGCATTACTTTGGTTATCTTGATCAAAAAAAGAGGGTGACCATAGAGCCATATTTTATGTTTTAATGAAAAATGGTAGCACACCCTTGTGAGTTATAACCCTGTGTATTCTACTTTTTTTTATCTTTTGATAAACTCCACCTTACTTTCTACTTTGTTATCTACCTGTAAACTGGACTGGATCCTGAAGCCTTTTAGAGTCCTTCAATGTTCCCAGGCTAACATTTCCAGTCTTTCTTCTGCCCTCCTGACTGGGTGTTAGTGAGAACTAAAGCCTGACAACTCAGGCCTTCCGTGGGACCATCTGGAAAGGCTGAAGCTGGACACATCCACGCTCTGCCCCCAGCATAACCATGACTGTGGCTCTGATGGTCATGATGTCACCAAGGACACACCCCCTGCAAACTAGGAAATCCATCCTTGCCCCATCGGCTGAAGATACCTTGAGCCCAAAATCCAGAAATCTTCTCAACAGACTGCCCTCTGGATTCGGAAACTGTGTTTCCAACTATAAATCTTTGTTTTTCTTCTCTTTTTCGTAGACATTCCCCTCATTAAATTCCCGACTACTTGTACCATCCAGCACACATCCTCCACCAGATGAAACATGGACTTATCTTGTTCAAAGAGAAAAGGAATGTCTCTTCTTTCTTGAACAAGAGGAGGGAATGAGAAAGCCTCGCTCCTTGACTTACCTCATGCCAGGCTCCTCTGAGTCTTCTCTTTGACTAGGCCTTGACCCTAGCTTCTGCTTTTGTCTGCTTTTCCCCATGTTTAGTAGGAATCCTGTGAAGTCTTTTAGTGGAAATCCCCTAGTCTTGGCCTGGTCACCCTTGATATCTGATCAAATTCCTCACCCTCCATCTTTGATTATTTTATTGCCTTGGCTTCCTTTCAGGTCTGGCCTCCTGTTTGGCCGAACACAATATACACAATAATTGAACTAGAGGGTGAATACATGGAGGTTCATGATATTCTTCCAAGTTAGAAATTTTCCATAATAAAAAGTTAAAATAAGTAACATATGCAACTCTCTCATGGATGTCTAGATTTTAAAAGGTCTTCAAAGATAGCAGACCTTTGTGTCCTGTTGCAAGGATAATCAATTTTTATTAAACTTATGCAAACAATTGTATGGTCCTGAAAATCATAATATCCAAATTCTAGAGTAATCAGGTGGGACAAAAAATATAAATGCTTCATTTTTGTTTATAAAAGCCCTCTTGGCCTTTGCTGAATCAGTTTAGCAAAGAATTCTCCTACCTTTTAGCAATGTTCATCCACTGACCCACCCTGATCCTTGGCTGCAAATCTCCACTTTCCCTGTATTTGGAGTTGAGCCCACTCTCCACTATTATGAGACACCATGGTAGTAGCCCCCTTTGAATAAAGGCTGCCTGCCCATCTTTAGCAAGCATCACAAATATTTTTTAACGGTATGAGCTGAGATAAAGGCTTTTGGTAATTATGTTAGTCTGATTATGACATTGTAGATAATGCTTTTATCTCTTCGCAAGAAAATGTTTTACATGAGGTGGTAAGGCATCTGGGATGGTGCTAAAATACTCCCCAAACAAGAAAAGTGTGTGTATGTGGTGTGGAGTGTGTATGTGTGTGTGTGTAGAAAAAAACAAAATATGCACAATAATTGAACCTGAGGGTGAATACACGAAGGTTCATGATATTCTTCCCAGTTAGAAATTTTCCATAATAAAAAGTTAAAATAAGTAACATTTGCAACTTTCCTATGGACATCTAGATTTTAAAAAGTCTTCAAAGATAGAAAGACTTTTCAGCTACATTCATTCCCCAAGGAATAAATGGTAAATTCATGTAGGTTGGGAATAAGAGGAACCCATGGGAGAAGAGGCCGCCGCTCCCCACCTGGTTCAGTTCTCTTTCTGCTGAGACATCCCTGTGGGGCCCTACCTGGAATCACGGTTCTCGGCCGGAGCTCAGTTTCTTGCCAACAGCACAGCAGGAGGACAAAGCAGAGGGTCCCGTCTCCTTGGCTCACTGCCATGCTCCCTCCAGCTGAGGGAGAAGGACGTTCTGAAGGTTGACAGTTTCCCATCCTTGGTCTCCAGGACACTGTGGAATGTCAGGACCTGTGACATCACAACCAGGAAGGGAGCTGGGGTCCTGCCCTGGTGGGGAGGTCATGTCCAGGGACCTGTGACATCAGGACCAGGAAGGGAGCTGGCATCTTGCCAGGGGCGGGGGGCAGGGTTTCTGTCCAGAGTCTGTGACTGGGAAGCAGGGAGGAGGCTCACTGGGGTCTTAAGGTAACAGAGATCCTCTCCACTCTTTCTTATTGCCTGTTCTGGTGACTTCCTCTGTCCTGAGCACCCTGAGGACTCAAGGGGTAGATACTAATCAGGACTTAAGGGCCAGTGGCCAAAAGCCAACAAAATCTGCTCCCATGGAAAGAGGCGTATTTGAAGGATGCTGGAGAGGTGGTTGAATTACAGAGCAAGTGCCAGAACCGACAGATCCAGAGGGTCTAATCACCTCTTAAAGGTCCCTTGAAGAACAGAGCCTTGAAGAACAGAGGCCCGTGGCCCCATGTCCCCTCCCACCCTCCCCCACCCTCAAAGTTCCAGGATCATGAAGAACAGGAGACAGATGACCCAGGTTTCAGCCTCCTTTCCCCCACACCTTCTTTCTCAGCATCAGCCCCAATCTTTCCCTGGCAGTGAGACTTTAATCACGAGAGGAGAACATGGCTGCATTTCCATGTTATCATCCTCCCAGCTCTATCTCCTAGACTTTCTAGAGCTTTCTCCATCCGTGCAGTGACAAAACCCCAAAGGAGTCACTCTGGTTGGCTCCCCTGGATCCTATCTCACCCCTGGACTGACTCCTACATCCAGGGCTCAGAGTGGGGCAGCTGGTCTAGACTCGGCCGGTGGTGGGGTCCCAGGTGAACAGCCCTCAGATCCCAGCTCCATGGTGGAGAGGGCTGGTGTGTTTGTCTGTTCCCACACTGCTATATAGAACTTCCCTGAGACTGGGTAATTTATAAAGAAAAGAGATTTAATTGACTCACAGTTCTGCATGGCTGGGGAGGCCTCAGGAAACTTACAATCATGACGGAAGGGGAAGCAGGCACCTTCTTCACAAGGCGGCAGGAGAGAGAGTACATGAAGGAGGAGCTGTTAAACACTTATAAAACCATCAGCTCTAGTGAGAACTCACTTATCATGAGAACAGCATGCAGGAATCCACTCCCATGATCAGATCGCCTCCCACCAAGTCCCTCCCTCAACACGTGGGATTATGAGGATTATAATTCAAGATGATGCTTGGGTGAGGACACAGAGCCAAACCATATCACTGGGGCCCTGGACGCACAAGACTAACAATGCCCCCGAGGTCTGGTCAGGACCCCAAGGATGGCTGACCCACCATGGGTCTCTGGCTCTTTAATTTTTATTGCTTGTATGGGAACCCACAGCACATTTTTGCTCAGGTTTTCCTTTTGATAGATGCAGTGGTAGCCAATCTACCTCAAGGTGTGGGGAGTATATTTCAGATTTTCAGCGTGTCCATAAAGGCACACTAAGCATGGTTGACATTTACAGAAACCCAGTGGGTTCCAAGTCCCACTCTGAGTTAATGAATGGTCCAAGTGAGATGCTTGCTTCTATAACCCAGGCTCTTGCTACTCAGAATGTCATTTTGGGGCCAGCAGCATGGGCCTAAGAGGCTGAATGTACAAACGGACAGCAGCCAGAGCTCCCATGACAGCAGAACCCTGCACTGCTGCCTGTCGAACGACACCCACTGCACCAAGGAGGGATGTCTGGCTAAGGCAGGCCAGGGACTTCCACCTCAAGGCGGAGGATGAGGAATTTGATCAGGGCTGGGGGCGAGGCCTCGTTGAGAAGAGGGGTCAGAGGAGCCTCGCTGATTTGGTCGAGGAAGGAGTCATTCTCAAGGCTGCCCGAAGCTCGGTGACTTGATACAGCCCATGTGTGATTGCTTACAACTTTGTGGGTTGGCTCTGGGGGCTGCTGGCCTAGTGTGGCCTCATGGACATGTCTGAGGCCTTAGCTAGGATGCTGGGGCTTGGGATGGCTGAGGCTTCCCTCCATGTGGTCTCTCGGCCTCTAGCAGGCAGCCTGGGCTTGGTCACAGCAGAAAGGAGAGTAAGCCTCGATGCAAACAAGCCTTTTCTTGCACCACATTTGCTAATGTCTCATCGGCCAAATGAGTCAAACTAATCCCAGATGCAGGAGTGGAGGAACAGATTTGAGCACTAAAATATGGTAGTCAGAGGCCGGGCGCGGTAGCTCACGCCTGTAATCCCAGCACTTTGGGAGGCCGAGGTGGGCGGATCACGAGGTCAGGAGATCAAGACCATCCTGGCTAACACGGTGAAACCCCGTCTCTACTAAAAATACAAAAAAATTAACTGGGTGGGCACCTGTAGTCCCAGCTACTCGGGAGGCTGAGGCAGGAGAATGGCATGAACCTGGGAGGCGGAGCTTGCAGTGAGCGGAGATCGCGCCACTGCACTCCAGCCTGGGTGACAGAGCAAGACTCTGTCTAAAAAATATATATGGTAGTCAGACTGGCTTAGTTCACAGAGCTCTGCCCCCCGCGTTTCATAGATTTGCTTAGCTAATTGGAAAGAAGAGGTTAGAGTGTCTGGTATGTGTTTTTAATCAGTTGCTTTATGAGATTCTAGTTTGAAGAATCTCTCACCAACCCTTGGGAGGTTGATGGCAAATTTATTTTTCTTATTCTTTGCTGTCTTTTAGCAACAATTTTACACATAATTCCCTTTGCATTTGTATTTGCATGCAACATTAAAACCAGAAGGGAATTTAACAAATTAATCTATTTATACCAGTTTCTTTGAATGGGGACTTTAATTCATTTGCATAACTGTCATAGCAGCAGCATATGACTCCTAGAAGTTTTTTCTCCATGGTTGCATTTCAGTTGAGAGATTGTTTCTGTCATATACCAATAGAGATTTGTTTCCTGCATCTTCCAGGGGAAAGAGGAAAGAACTCTTTATGGCTCTTTTAAAATAAACAGGCTTTCCTTATTTTTTTAATTTTTGGAAATGTAAAAATTTTAAAAATTAAAAGAAAAATGCAAGGCTAGGTCCAGTGGCTCACACCTGTTATCCCAGCACTTTGTGAGGCTGAGGTGGGTGGATCGCTTGAGCCTAGGAGTTTGAAACCAGCCTGGGCAACAGAGCAAAACGTCATCTCTACAAAGAATACAAAAATTAGCCAGGCATGGTGGTAAATGTCTGCAGTCCCATCTACTTGGAAGGCTAAGGTAGGAGCATCACCTGACCTTGGGGAGGCAGAGGCTGTAGTGAGCCGTGATTGTGTCACTGCATTCTAGACTGGGTAGCAGATCGAGACTCCATCTCAAAAAAAAAAAAAAAAAAAAAAACTGGGTGCGGTGGCTCACACCTGTAATCCCAGCACTTTAGGAGGCCGAGGCGGGTGGATCACCTGAGGTCAGGAGTTCGAGACCAGCCTGACCAATAAGGTGAAACCCTGTATCTACTAAAAATACGAAAATTAGCTGGGTGTGGTGGCATGCACCTGTAGTCTCAGCTACTTAGAAGGCCGAGGTAGGAGGATCACCTGACCTTGGGGAGACAGAGACTGTAGTGAGCTGTGATTATGCCACTGCACTCTAGCCCGGGCAACAGAGTGAGACCCCATCTCACAAAAACAAAACAAAACAAAACAAGAAAAATGCAAACATACTTAGTTCCATTGTACAAAATTAACACTGTTAGCATCTTAGAATATTTGCCTTTGATGTTTTTAATTTTTGAAAAATCATGGTTTTGTTTTTATAAATACGCTAATAATACATACTCACTATAGAGAACTTAAGCAATGAAACGACAAAAACGTGAAAATTAAAAAATGACCCCAGTTGTCCCGCAGCCACGACCACCATGAATATCAGGTTAACATCGTGGCAGACACCTCTTCATCTATGTTTACGTGCACAGGCTGGTGGGCGCGTGGAGAGATAGACATGGTGTGAGGAGCTCTTCTGTGGACGCAAACACCTGTGGGGTAATAACATAAGGTAATAAAGGTGGGAACACACCACCTCACTCCTGCAACAAAAGTAATTCTTCAAATTTACTCAGATTTAATGGAGGGAAAAAAACCTGAAGAACAACTGAAGGAATTGATGAACGTCCAGTATTTCCTCTCTCTCAGTCATTGCTCACAGGAGAGGAGGGGAGACTCTGGGGAAAAACTTAGGTATTTGGAGTCAATGCATTTTTTTTTTAAACGTGCAAGTTTCACTTTTCCACAGGAACAGCCGACTTCCTGATCTGAAATACGAGGACGGCTTCACTCTCCCTTCCTCTCACTTCCTTTCTTTTGATTCAATGTTAATTGGCCATGAACTTCTTATTTCCCCTAAGAAGAGCTCAGAGATGTTCTATCCCAGGACATCTTCAGACCTGAGAACTTAGGTTGTTGGCTTTAGAATCTAACAGTGACTTGTGGGGGAACAAGATTCACGGGCCAGCCCTCCTTCCCTAAGAGTTGTTACAGTTTCCCCGTTGCAGATCCTGAGTGCTGTGTGGAGCGCTCTGTGGACCACCTGACATGGACCCCCTCTTGCAGATGATCTGCTCTGGCTGTGTGAAGACCCGAGTTATTCTTTCTTTATCTTGAAATTAAGCAGCAGAATTAGGATTTGCCTTGGCATTTCTGTTCTCTGTTAAACTTCCCAGGAAGAAGATATGTCCTTTTGATCTGCAGACCCAATCTTTATTCACTTCAGGCACTTTTTAATCTCATGTCTTTGAATATGTCATCAATCCATCTCTCTGGTTCTCTACCCCCAGGCACCTGTTTCCTTACGCTGGACCTTCTCCATCTGTCTTCCTTAACCATTAGCTTTTCCTTAATTGCTGTAACCCTCTTGTCGTCAAAAAAATCTGTATTCACTGTGTTTTTATCTGTGGTAATAATTTCTAGAGGTATTTATTTTGTTTCTTACTGTTTCTGTCATTATATCATTGCTGTTTATAACATTTTAGGTCCTCAATGTGTTTCAATAGCTTCATTTTCATCCAATTCTATTTTGTGTGTGTAAAATCTCACCTTTGAGCTTTTCTATAGTTTGCCGGTTATTCCATAGCTTTCTGCCTTTAGAGTTGTTTTTTTTTGTGTTGTTATTTTGGTGTGTCTTTTGCTTGGTGTTCTTTTATTTTATAGAGATCTGTTTTAGTATGTTTGCAGAATTGCCATGTATTTCTTCTCCTTTCGCTTGTGTTTGGAAAGTTCTCCCATAAGTTCTAGTTGCTCTGAAAAGTGGTGAGCAACTACTTGTCTGTCCTCCAACTTTTTAAGGCCCAGTTTCTTTCCTCCTCATTCTCCTGTACACCCTGCTCTAAGCAAGAGTTTGAGGGCTGAGTTTGGTGGTGCTGGGATGAGTGGTGGAAGAAGGAACAAGTATGTGTGCGGAGCGGGACAATCTCTGCAGGAATAGCTGGGCCTGTCTTTCCTCTGCTGGGATTTTGTTAAATATAGTGAACCAAGGTCCATGCCACGGTCTGAGGGCTACACTCCGTTTCCTTGTTTGGTGGTGGGGTGGGGTGGGGCGGTATGTCAATCTGTGCAACCCTGGAGTCAAACTTCAACAGAATCAGTCCTTTATGGCCCAAAGTGGTTCCAGATTGCAATGCTCATGTTATCAAGTCTAGTTTTTTAAACCTTTATTCTTTCAGAAAGGACCCAAGTTTCGAGTTACAGTTTTGTAGGATTTGGATAACTTTATTCATGTGCTTTTTGTTTTATTCTTAGACAGGGTCTCGCTCCATCACCCAGGCTAGAGTGCAGTGGTGCGATCACAGCTCACTGCAGCCTTGATGGATTAAAGAGATCCTCCTGCCTCAGCCTGCTGAGTAGCTGGAACCACAGGCAGGCACCACCACACCTGGTTAATTGTTCATACTCTTTTAAGAGCCTTTTAATTATGAAATGATGACAGAGTCACAGGAAGTTGCAAAGAAATGTACAAGAAGGTCCTGCATGCTCTTTGCTCAGTTTACTCCATGTTTACATTCTACATAACTTAGTACAGTAGCAAAACCAGGTAAGTGTAAATGGGCAAAATAGATTAATGCATCACAGTTCCTTCTGTTTTTTGCTGCACACTAAAAAAATATATATTTATATATTATTTATTTATATATAAGTATATATTTAAATATATATTTAATAAGTACATATAAAATAAGTAATAAGTACATATGGTTAAATAATTACATATATTTAAATAAATAAGTATATATTTAAATATATATATACATTTCTTGAAATTCCTTGATATATACATATAAAGAAATATCAAGCAAAAGACAGACCAAAATAACATTACAGACATCCCTCAACTTATGATGAGGTTACCTCCTGAAAAACCCATCATAAGTTGAAAATATCACAAGTCAAAAATGCATTTAATACACCAAATCACAGTTGGTAGTTTAGGTGATTAACCTACCAGATTAACCAGAGATTGCTAGCCTGACTTACTCGGAACACTTATATTAGCCCACGGTTGGGTGAACTATCTAACATCAAGCCTATTTTATACTAAAGTGTTGAATACTTTACACAGGTGGGCATTTTGTAGACATGATGGGATGTGAAAACACAAAACAGAGTATCCAAAAATCTCTAGCAACACACAGAGTGGGCTGTTGACTTTCGTGATTCCCCGGCTGACTGGGGGCTGCACCTTGCTGCCCTGCAGGGCAAGGGAGTATCACAGCACGTATCACTAGCCGAGGAAAGGGTCAAAACTCACAGTGCAGTTTCTTACTGAATGTGGATGGCTTTTGTTTCGTCATAAAGTCAAACAGTTGTAAGCTGAACATACATCAGGGACTGCCTCTATTGGTGAAATGCATGTGTGTGGTTCTGTCATTTTATCATGTGTAGATTTGTGTAACCACAGCTGCATTTGAGACACAGGACTGTTCCACATCCATGAGCTCTCCATCACACTGCCCTCTACGTCCTCCCATAGCCAGCACTCATCTGTTTTCCTTGTATGTAATTTTGTCGTGTGAGAATATTATCTAGAAGGGTGATTTCTCCGAGATGGGCTTTTCTTTTATTCTGCATAATGCCCTCGACATTGATCCAAGTCACTGGCTGCGTCAACAGTTCCTTTTCATGGCTGAGCAGCAGGCACTCCATGGCATAGCTGCACCACACTTTGCTTATCTGTTCTTGTATTGAAGAACTCTTTGGTCCTTTCTAGTTTGAGGCTGTTTCAAATAAAGCTAATATAGACAACTGTGTATGGGTTTTGTGTGGACGTAAGTTTTCGCTCCCCTGGCGTGCATGCCTAGCAGTGCAATTGCTGGGTCATGTGGCATGTGTAGGTTCAGTTTTTCAGGAAAGTGCCCAACTATTTCCAGAGTCCCTGTTTCATTTTCCATGGCCACCAGCAACATATGCGAAATCCAGCTTCTCGCTGTCCTTGCCCGTATGTGCTATTGGCTGTATTTGCATTGTAGCTGTTTGATAGGAGTGTAGTGGCAATCTCTTGTGACCTTAATTTGCATTTCCCCAACAGCTGGTGATGCTCACGTCTTCTTGCGTGCTTGCCACCTGTGCACCCTCTTGGGAACATGTCTGTTCACACCTGAACTAGTTTCTTATTGCTTCTCTAACAAATTCCTGCAAATTTAGTGCCTTAGAACAACACTGATTTATTATCTTACCAGTTCTGAAAGCCAGAAGTCCAAATTGGGCCTCGAGGCTGAAGCCAGGTGCTGTGTGGCTGCATTTCCTCTGGGGGCTCCGGGAAATCTGTCTCCTTGTCTCCTCCACCATCCGGGGCTGCCCACATTTCTCCAGCAGCAAAGTCTCCCCATCTCCAGTTCTGTCTTCTGCCTTTCTCTTGATTTATAAAGACCTTGTGCTTCCATTGGGCTCTGCGATGATTAAATTTATGTCAGCTTGGCTGGGCCATGGTACCCAGACATTTGGTCAAAAATTATTCTGGACTGGGTGCAGTGGCTCACACCTGTAATCCCAGCACTTTGGGAGGCTGAGACGGGTGGATCACCCGAGGTCAGGAGTTCGAGATCAGCCTGGCCAACATGGTGAAACCTCATCTCTACTAAAAATACAAAAATTTACTGGGTGTGGTGGCACGCACCTGTAATCCCAGCTACTCTGGAGGCTGAGGCACGAGAATCGCTTGAACCTGGGAGGTGGAGGTTGCAGTGAGCCAAGATGAGCCATTGGACTCCAGCCTGGGTGACAAGAACTAAACTGTCTCAAAAAAAAAATTATTCTGGATGTTTCCGTGATAAGACTTACATTTAAATTGGTGCTCTGTTCTTCTTCCATTGACTTGCTTTCGGCTTTTTGTTAAAAACCAGCTGGCCATGCGTGTGTGGGGCTATTTCTGGGCTCTCTCTGCTATTTGGTTAATCTGCGTGTTTATGCCTCTCCAGTGCCACATTGTCCTGACTGCTGAAGCAACATGAAAGTCTGGGAAATGGGAAGGGCAATTGCTTCCACTTTAGTATTATTTTTCAAAACTGTTTACTCCTCTTCCTTTGGCTTTCCATGTTACATATTAGGATAATCTTGTCTATATCTGCAAAAGAAAAGCTGGAATTTGATGAAAATTGTGTTAAACCTGTGTGTCATTTTGGAAAGAATTGTCATTTTTTTCCTGCATGAATACATATGATCATGTAATTCTTTTTTCTTTAGTGTGCTAATATAGTGGATTACATTGAGAAATTTATATTATTGCTGATTATTTTCTGTCTTTTTATGCTGCTATTGATCCCATCTAGTGATTTTTAGAATTTCAGATATTGTATTTTTAGATTTAAAATATCCATTTGGTTCTTTTTTTTAAATTTTCTACTGTTTGCTGAAACCTTTAATTTGTTGAGACTTTCTATTTCTTCATTTGTTTCAAGAGTGTTTGTAAATGTTTGTTGAAGCATTTTTATGATCACTGCTTTAACACCCTTGTCAGATAATTCTCATGTCTGTGTTATTTTGGTGTTGGTCTCTGTTAGTTGTCTTTTCTTGTTCCATTTGAGATTTTCCTAGTTCTTGATATGACAAGTGATTTTTGATGGAAACCTGGGCAGTTTGTGTGTCATATTGTAAGACTCTGCATTTTACCTGCATCTTGCCATTTAGCAGGTTTCTCTGACCCTGGGTGAGGGCAGGTGCCATCGTGTCACTGTCACGCTGGGAGTGGAAGTCCAGCTTCCCTCTCTGCCCTCATTGATACTGGCACGGTGGGGCTCCTCTGCACGGCTGGCAGCAGGTGGAGCAGGAGTGCCTTGTTACTGGTTCCACATGGCCCCAGGTGATACTACAGGGGTGGTGGCCTCATGACTGCTGGGGGGGGTGATGAGAGTTCCCACTTCCTGCTGCCTCCCTTGTCACCATCCTGGTGGGGAGGAGAATGGCCTTGTTACCACCAGGTGGGGGTGGAAGTCCAAGCCCCCCTCCATCAGCCTGTTCCCATGCCACCCAAAGAGGGGTTTGGGGCATCTCATGACAGTGTGCTGAGGGCAGAAGTCCAGGCTCCCCACTTGACTTCTGCTGGAGGGGTGGGGACAGGGCCACAGCTCCGTAGTGTTTGGCTGGAGGAGAGAAGTTACTGTGTCCTGCAGGGCTGCTACTTCCTTGGTCTTGTGGCTGCAGAGGGTAGGCTTTTCCAGAGTCTTTTTTGGTCTGAATCCATGGCCATCTCTGTGCTGCCAGCTTCTCCAGCACCCACTTGGGAGACATGAGGCAAAAGGAAAACCCAGGGAACTCCCTCCTGGGCAATTCCTCAATCCAAGGTCCCCAATTGATCTGCCTTCTTCCCTCCACCTCTCTAAGACTTCTTCTATTTGTCTTGTGGACAGCATCCGGGGCTTTCTCTTGTCCTCAGTGGGAATAGCAGGGAAGCAGATGCAACTCCTATTTTCCTCTAGTCCAATCCATGCATCTCTATGAGTGCATGCTTGCAGGACATGTGTCCATGGTGGGTTAGGCTCTGGGAGGCAGTGTGCACTAGGCTAAGTGCTCAGCATGGTCATACCAGCTCGATTTAATTCCTGGTCAGTGGCTTACTAGCTGATGACCTCAGACAAATCAAATACCCCTCTGAGCCTCTGAGCTGATAGCTCCTACAGGCCTAAGCCATTTGTTTTCACCATAATGCTGCATGGCAAACCACCCCAAAACTCAGTCTGTGGCCAGCAGCATTGGCTAGGCTGAGCTGGGCAGTTCTTCAGGTCTGGGCTGGGCTCACTCAGCTATTCTCATTCACTCACGGCAATTGGCTCTCAGCTGGTATTGTGGAGATGCAGACCGTGTGCCTCTCCCCTCAGGCTGGCTTGGGCATGTTCTCATGACCGTGGTGGAAAAGGAGCAGGGGCCATCAGGACTTGGGTGTAAGTACTTCCCAGCTTTTGATGGTGTGTTGTTTGCTTACAAACCACAGTGCATGGGGCTCAGCCAGGGCTAAGGGGTGGAGCTGGGCACCAGCCCCAAGTGGGAGGACACAGGTGTGGGAGCAGTGAGGGTGGAGCTGGGTCCTTCGTGCTGTGTTCTTACCACACCCCTTTATGGTGTTAAGTGAGTGTCTTGGTCATCACAGGCTGTGGGACAAAATACCACAGACTGTGTGTCTTAATCAATAGACATTGATTTCCTATAGTTCTGGAGGCTGGAAGTCCAAGATCAAGGTGCTGGGAGATTCATTTCCTGGTGAGGGCTCTCTCTCTGATGTGCAGACAGCAGCCCCCTTGCTGTGTCCTCACATGGCAGAGAGAGGACCCTGACCTGTTCCTGTTCTTATGGAGACAGGAATCCCATCATGGGGACCCCACCCTCCTGACCTCATCTAAACCTAATTAGCTTCTAAAGTACCAGCTCCAAATACCATCTCATTGTGGGTTACAGCGCCAACACACGTGTTTGGGGGCACAGAATCCAGTTGATAGCAGTAAGTTAATGCATAGAAGGGTGGCTTGCTTGTTTATTGTCTTGGCATTCTTTCTACACCATTAGACTGGGACCAAGCCCCTCCCTCTGCTGTCATACTTTCCTAGGACATTGGGAAAAATTGTGTTCCTTTGAGCAGGTCTGTGAAGCCCTGGGATCCCTCAGTGCCAACCGTCCCTGACCTCGAACTTGGCTTTCAAAGCACAACCCTTCAACCCTCTTTGGGCCCAGCCCCTCCTCTGTGACTTCCCTGGTAGCAGCATTGCTGGTGTGTGGCCATGGGGCAGGACCCTCCCTAGGTCCATGCCGACTCAACCTGCCCTGCCAGACCTCACTTCTCAGGCTCAGCTTCTCCACTTAGAGCCAAAGCTTAGGCTGCACCTGCCCAGGGTGGCTCCTTGGCTGTGCCTGCCTCTCTGTGTGCTCACTTCCCCTTTACCCACCCTCTGAAGGTTTGGTCCAAAATCAACTGATAAAAGGCAGATTGATCAGAGAAAAGGCACGTGCAGTTCATGACTGGGCCTGGGGGAAATTGCAGTGATTTCCCAAATGTGTTGCACAGTGCAGAGGCTGATGTGTCCTTTTCCACAGGGGAGTGGGGGGTTGGCGAGGGTGGGAAGTTCTTCTGAGGGACAATAAATCATCAGGGAAAAGTGAATGGCCCCGGGAGGTGGAGGCAGGAAGGTGGGGGATGGAGCTGCACGAGAATAAAGGTCGCCTCACTATGCAGATCAAGTCCCCCAAAACCTCCCTTGAAGTTGCTCTTGGAAGAACAGATGAGAAGTCCAGGTGTGGGGAACCCCTGTTCCCTCCCTTCCCAGATGGTTGAGCTTTCGTGGCCATTGATGAGATTCCCAGGGTGGGAGATGTAAGACAACTGCATTGAAGCTGCTTTGGTAGGCAGACAAGGAATTCCAGAGAGAGCCCCTCTCAGCACCTGGCGGGGCTGGCGTCCAGGCCAGGGGGCCCTAATTCGGAGACAGCTCCTTGGGCCTCTCAGCTGGTCCCAGCCAGGCTTTGGGGTGTGGCCTTCTGAGCCCCAACACCGCCCAGGCTCCTCCTGCCTCCACCTGGAGTTTCCTGTTGCTTATCACAAGGAGGCAGTGCCTGGCTTGCTCTGGTCCGAACGGTGGTGCTTTTCGCTGGTTTGGCTTTTGTCTCCAAGGCTCTGTTGCTGTTGCTGATTGCATCTTGGTTTCTGCCATGTTTGGGTCCCAGGGGAGACCCTGTGCAGGCCAGATACTGAGCTGGGTGGGACCAGCAGGGTGCTGGGATTTGGGTAGGGAAGGTGTGTTGGAGGCCTTTGCCACAGAATAGCTGGCGACAAACCAGCATGCAGACCCCGGTGGGTGCAGTGACCTGGGAGGGCTGGGCTCCTGGATGGAGCACACAGGGAGCAAGAAGGGAGCTGGACAGGCCCACACTGTCCGGGTTTCATGTCTGCAAGACAAATCTCTGCTCACAGAAAACTTGAGAAGAAAAAATGGGCTGTTCAACCCACTGGGAAGCGTTGGCATAGTGAGAAGGAATGGCCATGCATCCGTATGTCACCAGACTCCCCTTTTCCAGGGGAGTTAAAGATCCTTTTCCAGGCATGTTGGCAATTGTTTTCTCTTATGAAAATATCCCGTAGACCCATAATTTGGCAATATACACATAACCAATTGTTTTAAAAACAGAAGTGATGCTGGCTATTATAATGTAAACTGTTTTCTAAATGAAAGAATTAAAGGAATGTAATTGGAGAAGTATACAAATAGTGGTTAATATGCTGCTTCTTGCAAAGGCATATTACAACTTATAATCTTCCTTTATGGATGTATGTTGTTAGTGCTTAATCAGGCATGTGAATGTATTCAGGTGTTAAACCATTCTATTAGCTGGGAAATTGCACTATTATTTGCTGAGCTGTTTATGTTATATTGTTGTTGGCTCTCTGAGTTTCTCTTTCTCTCCAAGCTTATCTTACTCTGGTCTCTGCAATCTGTATAATTGTCTTCTTTACTTTTGTCTTTAGAAAGCTTTAAATAGAGATACTGGGAACGATTAACTGTGTCAGAATCACAAAGTTCTGCTGCTTTACAGATTAATTGTAGAGACATTATGCCGATGCTTTAAAAGGCAGAAAGAACCTGGATGCAGAATGGAGGGTCACAGCAGGATCGTGGCCAATGACACTTCCTGCCCAGGAAGTGTCCACAGGAGGAGTCTTTGAAGACTAGCAAGAAAATGCAGGGCACCTTCCTGGATGCATCAACCTTGACCTCAGTGGTCTATAATAGCCCTGCAGTCCAGAGGTCCCGCTACTAGAAATTCTAAGTGTTGGAGACAAAAGTGAAATGCCAAGGGGGAATGCTGTCTCCTCTGGGAAAGCAAAATATTTACCTGAGAAAGAAAATCTCCTAAAAGCTTTCTATACCATCCATCCATCCATCCAACCATCCATCCATCTATCCATCTATCCATCTTCCCTTCCCTTCCCTTCCTTTCCCTTCCCTTCCCTTCCCTTTCCTTTCCTTCCTTTTTCTTGTCTTCTTATGGAGTATGTCTGCTGAGAGGATCAGATTACATGGAATCAGATTAATTGTAGATTTCTACATGTGATACAATCCAGTATATTGGCCACGATTGGCTATGAAACCAGTAGCACAAAATGGCAGAGTTTCCCAGGATGGCCAAGACTGGCCTGGAAAATCTGGGCAAGTGTGTTCTCTGAGACCAATTCCATATATTCAGGCTCCGTTTTGTATTAGTTTCTTGAATTCAAATAAAGAATCCAATGTTGCTTTAAGAAATAATTTTGGCAAAATCAAATACAAAATACATTGTATGAGGATGGAGTCACATCACAGTGAAAGAAAAAAATACTTGATTACATAGAATTATTAATTGGAAAACTAGGAGAAAAGTGTTGATCATGAGTTCGATGTAAAACTGTGCTAGAAATGTTTATCAAGACCTACTATTTGTAAAACACATTGCTATGGAGTTAGGCCTCTGTTAGCAGAGTTTAAATTCAGTTTTTCTTTCAAAGAATATCATTAGCTGGCAGGACAAACAGGGAAACAGGGTTAAAGAAACTTTAAAGATGTTTCCTAGCCATGTTCCCATCAATACGTTTGCTCAAGTCTAACAGCTGTTATTCCCGATAGCTACTGAATGCAGACAGCATGGTTAAATGCCTAGACATTCTTTGTGGAGTACAGTCATAAATTCACAGTTGTCGGTGCTCCAACTGTTGGAACTAAGAGTGACTAAGAATTAAAACTGGGAATCCCGGAAGTCCTGACCAGAGAAATCAGGCAAGAGAGAGAAATAAAAGGCATCCTAGCAGGGAAAGGGGGAAGTCAAATTATCTGTTCTCACTAATGCGATTTGATACCTGGAAAACCCCAAAGACTCTGTCAAAAGGCTCCAGAACTCATACATGACCTCAGTAAAAAGTTTCAGGATACAAAGTCAATATACAAAATTCAGTAGCATTTCCAATAACATTTGAACTGAGAGCAAATCAAGAACATAATCCCATTCACAATAGCCACAAGAAATAAAATACCGAGGAATACATCTGACCAAGGAGGTGAAGGATCTCTACAAAGATAACTACAAAACGCTGCTGAAGGAAATCATAGATAACACAAACAAATATGCTTATGGCTTGGAAGAATCAGCATCATTAAAATGGCACGATGCCCAAAGCAATGTGCAGATTCAACACCATTCCTATCAAACTAGCAATGTCATTTTTCACAGAATTAGAAAAAAAAAACTATTCTAGAATTCACGTGGAACAAAAAAAGAGCCCAAACATCCAAAGCAATCCTAAGCAAAAAGAACAAAGCTGGAAACATCACATTACCTGATTTCAAACTATGCTATAAAGCTACAGTAACCAAAACAGCATGGTACTGGTACAAAAACAGACGTATGGACCAAAAGAATGAACAGATAACCCAGAAATAAAGCTGCACACCTAGAGCCACCTGATCTTCAACAAAGTTGACAAAAATAAGCAACAGGGAAAGGACACCCCACTCAATAAATGGTCCTAGGATAGCTGGCTATCTATATGCAGAAGAGTGCAACTGGACCCCTACCTTTCACTATATACAAAAGTCAATGCAAGACAGATTAAAGACTTAAATATAAGACGACAAACCATAAGAATCCTAGAAAAAAACCTAGGAAACGCCATTCTGGACATTGGCCTTGGTAAATAATTTATGACTAGGTCCTCAAAAGCAATTGCAACAGAAACAAAAATTGAGAAGTGAGACCTAATTAAACCGAAGAGCTTCTTCATAGAAAGAGAAATTATCAACAGAGTAAATAGACAGCCTACAGAATAGGAGAAAATATTTGCAAACTATGCATCCAACAGAGGTCTAATATCCAGAATCTATAAGAAACTTAATGAATTAAACAAGCAAAAACCAAATAACTCCATTAAAAAAGTGGGCCAAAGACATGAATAGACATTTCTCAAAAGAAGACATGCCAATGGCCCACAAACATGTGAAAAAATGCTCAACATCACTGATCATCAGAGAAATGCAAGTCAAAACCACAATGAGATGCCTTTGCACACCAGTCAGAATGGCCATTATTATTATTATTATTTTTAAAGTCAATAAATTTACTCAAGGAATTCCATGGTGTGATTTCTTCCTCTGTCCATCAAGGTCACTTTATTTAGAGAGCTGGAGTAACAATTTGTCTTCAAAAGATTTATTTTCAAGTTAGCCCTTTTTAATGAAACTGATGCTTATTTTAATCCAGTGGTCCTGTCAGCCTATAATTCTTTTATTTTGGCTTCTGTCATCTCCTTTTAATATGGATAGACTGATGAAGACTTCAAAATTCACCTAGGAAAAAATCAAGAATCTTTGGGATCTAATTTCTTCAACCGATTTATTTTGGGGCCATTTTTAGTGTAGGTGGACCTGAGAGTGGCCATTATTAAAGTAAAAATCAGCAACAACAAAAACAAACAAACAAAAAAACCCCACATGTTGGTGAGGATGCAGAGGAAAGGGAATGCTCATGCACTGTTGGTGGAAATGTAAAGTGTTCAGCCACTGTGGAAGGCAGTTTGGAGATTTCTTAACTTAGAACAGAACTACCATTTGACCCAGCAATCCCATTACTGGGTATGTACCCAAAGGAAAACAATCATTCTACCAAAGAGACACATGTATGTGTGTGTTCATCGTAGCATTATTCACCATAGCAAAGACATGAAATCAACCTAGATGCCCATCAATGGTGGACTGGATAAAGAAAATGTGGTACATTTACATAATGGAATACTATGCAGCCATAAAAAAACAAAATCACGTCTTTGCAACAACATGGATGCAGCTACGAGTCATCACCCTAAGCAAATTAATGCAGGAACAGAAAACCAAATGCCATGTGTTCTCACTTATGAGTGGGAGCTAAACTTTGGGTACTCATAGACATAAAGATGGCGACAATAGACACAGGGGAGGACTAGAAGTGGGAGGGAGAAAGTGGGGCAAGGGCTGCAAAAGTAACTGTTGGTACTATCCTCAGTCTGTGAGCATCACACAACATGCCCATGTGACAATCTTGCACATGTACCCCCAAATCTAAAATAAAATGGAAATTATTAAAAAATGAAAATAAAATAAAAACAAACCTGGGAATCCTAAATGTCTGGGTTACGTGGCCATCTTTAAGATTCTAAAATCATGAGTTGAAAGAAAATGACTATATTCACACATGGCTCTAACAGTTGTATATATTGAATAGTCTGAAAAAATATATTTTTTCTGGTACTTGACCATTTCAGTTACTCACCACTGTTACCAACAGGCCTGGGTAACAGCCTCTTCTGAGTGGACTTCTAAGACTGTGGTCATGGAAATGCAGCTCAGGGACCACTGTGTGACAAGCAGAGTGGAAGCGGGAGGTGTGGGCACCATTCGCCCTGGTGGTTTGCTCCATGAAAGGGGGATAGTGCTGGCTCATGACAAAGAAGAGAAAACTGGTGCGACACCCCATGGTTAACGTGACGGCACGTGGCTAATGAACACTTAATGATCCCTCGCCTGCACGTTTCTGTCACCCATTTGAGAATGTCACTTGTTTTATACTTAGCCCTACAGTGCGGGATTAGCTTCTTGCTAAAGTGAATTAGTCAAGGTTCTTTAGAAATCAGAACAAAAGTGCTAGAAGATGTGTACAGATATGAAGAGACTGAACATGTACACACTGGTTCAGATAATGTATAATTAACTTAAAGGAATTTTTGCCTGGGACGTGGGAACTGGCAGTGAGATGTTATTTCACATTTGCTGAGACCTTCACCTTACTATGGATGTTTTTTAACCTGAAATTATTCTTGGAGAAATATCAGGTTGTGGCAGACCCATCACTCTTCCTGGGGAACAGAAATCCCGATGTCCACAGCAAGAACATCGTTTTCCAAACAGAATTAAGGGGTTCTGTTTCAAAACATAGAGATCCAGTCATTTGGTTATTTGTTATAGACACACACAGACCATACACACATACACACCACAACACATATGCATATACACATCCCATGTACACATACACATGCATATACACACCACACACAACACATAAACGTCCTCCCCTACATACACACTACATACACACACACACATCACACATCACACATACACATGCATATATACTCCCCCAACACACATGCACATCCTACACACATACACACATATACACCCACACATACACTACACATACACATGCATATATACTCCCTCAACACACATGCACATCCTACACACATACACACATATACACCCACACATACATTACACATACACATGCATATACACACTACACACACAACACATAAACATCCTCCCCTACATACACACTATACATACATACATCACACATCACACATACACATATGTGTATACTCCAACACACATGCACATTCTACACACACACACAACACATATGGATGCATGTACACTCACACAACACCCACATGCACAGTCTACACACATATACACACATACCCACACATACACACATCACACATGTGCATGCATGTACACTCCCCCACAACACACATGCACATTCCACATACACACATTACACACAAGGATCCACACTCACCACACACACAATACACACGTGCGCATTCTACACCCATACATATATACATCGCACATACATATACATGTACACTCACTATACACAACACGCACACAAGCACATCCTACACATACATACATAATCACACATACACATACACATGCATACACACTCACCACACACATACAACATGCATACACATCCCATATACACATACACACACCACAAACAGAAAATATACACACACCACATACATATACACATACACACACTTACATACATAAAACCACGACACAGCCACAAGACACACACACACACACACTTTTTTCTTTTTGACCCCAAATTCTCCATTTACTTTCTTTCACTCCCCCACATCTCCCAAGCTCTTTTCTAGCCTTCATTTAGACAGGTGCATTCCAGAACTCCGAGGTCCCAGATAAGATGTAGAACGTGTCAGTTTTTTTGTTTGTTTGTTTTTGTTGTTGTTTTTTTAATGTTCAAAGATCTCTGTCATTCACATGTTTTACAGATAAGGTCAACTTAGCAAAAAAGCTTCACTCTGACTACTCTTAAATTTTGTGATGGATGAGTGAAAACTTTTTCTCACTTGCTGACCCCGAAATTAAGCATCCAGCGCCCACTCACCCAGGCTTCAGCTTTACTGAAGCTGAAGGCAAAACTCGTATTTCCTACAGCAATGCAGAATGAATAAAACCCTACAGCTTTGGCACTTTGATTTGTGAATGTTTGGAATAGAATATTAGTTCTGCCATCTTGTATGGGCTCCTGCTGACCACTGGAAATTTGGCAGTGGTCCATAGAACCAACCAGAGGTTGGGAAGGTGCAGCTCCTTACAACCTGAGGCACAAAGAAGCCTTCTGATTAGCTCAGGTGGCTGCATTTTTACTGTCAGAATGTTCTTCCTTTGCTTAACATGTTGTGTTACGGGGGCTACCATTGCAACATGAAACACTCCTGGAAGAAACGACGTGCTAATAATTTACCAGGCACTGGTGTCTAAGAGGAAATTAAAAACAGGTTTTGTAGCCAAGGTAGTGGGTTGGCAAGTCTGAGGTTTCGCACATGCACAGACTGGCAAAGGTGGCAGGTGGGTCGCTGCCAGAGGTATGAGACCAGAGGAAGCTCCAGAGTTTTTGGAGGTACTGTGCTTAGAGGGAGTGGGGAGGTGCTGGCAGCGCCGAGAGCTGCCTTGCACTGGGTTCTATATACGCCTGTGGATCTTTCTTGCATATCCCACTGTTTGAGAATGCAACGCATTCCAAATCTGCATGAAGGACTGGGGTCACCTGAGTCTGGAATGAGGAGGGGCTGAGGAGATGCTTGCCAGCGCAGTATCTCTTGCAGTTTAAAATGGAACACTTATAGTTCCGGATTTTCTAATTTTGCTATCCAGCAGCTCTTGGAGGTGAGTGGGTCAAAATCATAATTCCATTTTGATAGATCTTGTGATTAATCTTTGCTCATCAAAGCTCCTCCATTATATTCATGTACCTGAAGCTGGAAGGCGGAGCTGCTCTGGGGTCGCAGGTGGTCCCGGGTTCAATGCAAACTTGTTTTGCACAAAGAGATCTGCAAAAATAATCCAGCCTTTTAGTTTTTGATTCCCTTTCTATTGATTTACACTTAGGTACATTTAATTCCAAACCTTGGAGATGGCTGACAGGGTCATTCAATTGAGTCTTTGTAGTGAAGAAACCATTAAGAAAGTGGAGAGGCTGGAGCCCTGCAATTTCCACTGGGATGAAGAATCAAAGACTAATTTTATTCCGAGATCGTAGTCGTGCCAAGCGCTTAGCAGGGCATAGACCAGAGCCATCGTTTCAGCACAAGGAGCCTGGCGTTTGGGGTGTGAGCAGGTAAAACACTCTGAGTCTCTCTCCACGCAGCACATGGAGGCACTGTTCTGGAGACCGCGGGAAACAGGCGTCCCAGTGGCTGGGCTGAAAACGCCCTCCTTCTCTAACACGCGCTGAGAAACAGCCAGGGGGCCATGTGCATGTCCCTACATGCTTTTATTTGAGATAATTTGATGCAATTTAAAAATTAATTTTGACCTTAAAAAAGGTGTCCTTTCCTCAGTTTAGGAGTGGAGGTGAACCCTGATCTGGCCCCCATAGCAGGGACGCTCTGCCCCTGGTCGTCCGTTGCCTGGCTCGGAAATGAGATGGCGATGGAGAAAGGCCGTTGCTGGAGCAGGAGGGGGCCCCACTGCTCCCTCCTGGGGGTGAGATAGCAGCATAATCATGCAATATCTAAATTAATACAAACCTAAAGTCTCTTCAAGGTACTTTCACTGGAAAGTTTTCCAAATTTGTTTCACCTTGGAGGTGATGTCTCATCCAAGTTTGGTTTTGTTTTCAGATGTATTTCCCTGCTCTGTGAGCTTCACGGAAGGACTTCACATTAGGGGAGGCTCTAAGGTGCCCTGTGTGCTAGGCCCTCATGAACCATCCCAGGGCTGCCTGCTCTGCAGGACCACAGCGTTGCTGTGCCCAGCTTGGGGTGGGCTCCTGTGCCCCTCTGTGGGTGCCCGCCCCATCTCCACACTGCCAGCTCTTCTCTGCCTGCATGTGCAGAGTAGAGAAAGGGAGAGGAGGCAGCAGGGGTTCCAGGAGGGCAAGGGGCATAGACCAAGATGAGGACGGGAGGAGGAGACCCCCAGGGGGACGCAGCGGGCGTGGTGGGGGCCACCATGCTCTTAGTTCATGTCCCCCAGGAAACTCGTATATCGAAATGCTCAGCCCCACGGTGATGGTGGCGGGAGGTGGGGCCTTTGGGAGGGGATCAGTTCAGATGGTGATGAAGGTGGGTCCCCACGAGTGTGATTTGTGCCCTTGCAAAAGAGGCCCAGAGAGCTCCCTCACCCGTTCCACCATGTGAGGAACCAGTGAGAAGGCCCCGTCCACAAACCAGGAAGCCCTCTCCAGATGCCAAATCCGCCGGTGCCTTTATGTCAGACTTGCAGCCTCCAAAACTGTGAGAAATACACTTTTGTTCCAAGCCATCCAGTTTATAGTATTTTGACAGCAGCCCAAATGGACTGAGATGGAGGCCAAAGGGGTGAGTGGCCGTCTCCAGCAGGCAGAGCCCCCAGTGGGCTCCGCTCACACCTGGTGTTCCAACCGGGGCCACGGGCCTGGTGCCCGCTTCCCTTTCTCACTTCCACCTGGACCTTTCCACAGACGCCCCCTTCCCCCATCGCCGGCTTAGCCTTGAATGACACACCTGATTAAAGTTAATTTAAATATAACATTGATTTGATTTGAATAAAAACACCTGCGGCTTCTGACGGCACCACCCCATGTGACCCCCATGGCCAGACAGGTGGCCCTCCCCCTTCTGTCTCCCTTCCCTCCCCTGAGGCCTTGCTCCGGGCTTGAGCTCCTGCACCACGGTGCTGGGACAATCACACGCACAGGGTCTACCTGCGCATGAGAGGCAGGAGAGCGCCGTGCCTTGGGGAGCAGGGGGTGGTCCCGGCGTCCCTGTGCCCTCAGATGCCACCTAAGCTCCAGAGCCTCCATTTCCTTGTCTGTAAAGCATGGTCCCCGGAAGCAGGGAGGATCAGGTGAGTGGTGCTCTGCGTCGAGTGCTGGGTGTTGGGTCACCTTGTGCCCCTGGACTCTGGCTTCTGCCCTCACAGCTTCACCCCGTGCCAGGCCCGTCTGATGGATCTGAACCCTCCCGGCTAGTGAGGAGCCTGCAATCCCCTCGGGGAGACGGGGGTGAGACAGGGGTGCGGGCACTCAGCACCCTCTGCCCCTCCACAATTCTGCGCTGGCCCCAGGGAGGGAGGCCGGGTCGGAGGAAGCTGAGCTTGGAGAGCCCCTAAAGGTGACACAAGAGGATTGTCCCTGGGTAGCCATGGGCGGGGGCCCTGTTGGCAGGTGGGGCCTGCGGTGGCCACAGAGGGCCAGTGGTGGGTCCAGTGGCTCAGAGGTCACGGTCACATCACCGGACGCCTTTTTGGCAGCCCAGAGAGTGAAAGCTGCTTCCCCAAAGCCCCTCTGAGGCTGCAGACCTGGCACAGTCTCTGGGGCTCTTGGGCCAGGGCGCAGTCTCCATTTGCCACCATCTCCCCCGACGCAATTCCCTGACCTCCAGGCCTTGGGGCCCCACTTTCCAGGACCCCACCTGGATGGGGTGGGGGGCTCCTTTGCTGAGTCCGGCCTTCCCTGGGTGTCCCGGCTGGGTGTTTTCTGGGTGGCTCAGCTCCTGGGTGCACGTCCAGGGAGGTCCCAGGGTCCCGGATCCTCGGTGGGTCCTGGATCCTCAGTTGCTCCCAGCTCACAATGCACCCTCGTGCTGCTTCCAGTGGGCCTGGGAATCATCACCTCCAGGAAGATTTCTAGCAGCTGCTGATGTTTTCTAAGCTCGCCGTCCCATCCACCTGTCACTGAAGGCCTTGTTTCCTTGCTACCCTTGCCATTCTTTCCTGTCCCCCTCATTCTTAATCCTGCTGCCCACTGATTTGACATCTGAAAGCGTTTTAAGATGTTTATCTCCTGAGACTCAGCAGTCTACCTTGTTTCCCCGTGAGGCTCCGATCGCTGGGCCAGGTCCTCCAGCTCCTCCTGAGTGTCTGGGAGGGACGAAGTCAATGGAAGTTAGGAGGTGAAGTGTGCTCCAGAGATGAGGCTGAAAAAAATTTCTGAAATAACTTTTGTTATCCTTTGGCTGAAAATAATGAATGTTTTGGGGGTTAAGCAACAAGATTGAGGTCTCCTTTCAAAAAGCAAGTCGTCCTCGTGCTGTGATCATGAGCGTCTGGCGGGCGCATAGCCCCAAGGACGAGAGCGGCCGGGGGTGCTGGGCTTCCAGGCCTTCAAGAGCTCCTTGTTCTTCAAATGCTGCAGCTTCGATTAAAAGTCAAAGTTGTCGCTATTCACTGCCTTTGTGGCGTCAGAATGCGAAAACTTTGATGGCTTTATTAAGCTAGCAGCTTTTCAGTGGCAGAGTGAGAAAGCTGTAGAGAGACTTCCTGCTTTATCAAAGGGATTATTTATTTATTTATCCCAGAACACACGTGTGTTTTCCACTGCGTGCACAGAGAGCTGCCTCATTGAACACATAGCCATTCGCTATCATCTGAACGTGCGGCAAAGCAGGGCAGTGTCCCCCAGAGCTGTGGTTTCCAACCCCATCGAAAACCAATGGCACCCGCTTTCATGACAAACACGTTGTCACTTTCCTTTACTTGGAATGAAAGTCACAGCTAGTATGAGTAATCCACACTCCTGAGAAATAATATTATAGATAGGAAATTAATTAAAATAAACTGTCATCAAAGGACGTTAATTTACAACGGCCTGTATTTCGATATGTAAACACCTGGGCATGACGGTGTGAACAAACATAATGAAGTAGACAAACACATGCCTTTCCTTCACATGAGCCAGTCGGGTTTCAGAGAAGTGAAGCAACATTCGGCTGCCTGTTACGAAGACTTTATGTTCAGTATTTTGAAATAAAAGCTATCTAAAGATATTTGGATTTACGCATCCTAATAGAGAGGATTTTCATGAATGCAATGGTTACAAATGCAGACCAATACACCAGCAATTCTCTCTATGCATCATAGACGCCAGTAAAGACAGGATTTTCCTGTCTGTGGCATGATTTTCCTCAATGATAAACAACACTCGATAATGTTCTGACAAAATAAAGTACTGACTTCTCTTGATTTTCAAAGTAGTTGCATTACTGGAGAATTCAGTATATACTAAAACCATACAACAAATATTATTGTGTTTACAGAAGAAAACAGAGTTGGCCTTGGTAGATAG